>NW_019805492.1:0-195063 GCF_000001405.40 Homo sapiens
CACTCTGTTTTGCAGAAAAGATTCTGTGGATTAATACAGAAGCACCAGCAACACCAGAGGGGTGGAGACTCCTTTCTCTCCCGATTCTACAGTCTGGCTCTAAGCCCAGTAAAACAGCTCCCGAGCACTGCTTCAGCTGGGTCCAGTCTTGACAAAGGCAGGAAGCCAGCTAGGGTGGGGGCGATAGGGTCAGCGGGTATGTCCCACTGTTGGAGGTCACTGGTATTCTGTTTGTTTTTGTTTTGTTTCGTTTTGTTTTTTGAGACAGGGTCTCGTTCTGTCGCTTAGCTGGAGTGCGGTGGCGTGATCATGGCACTGCTATTCTTGAAGCACTCCACCCACCTGGGCTACTTTTTCTTTAGTGCAGAGGTGCACTGTCTTCTTTTAGGTGGGATCGCGTAAGCATGAGCTGGTAGAGCACGGAGAGGCAGGCAGCCAGGTTACGAAGACTAAGCCAATTATTCACTGAAGTCATCCTCCTCCCCCCCACCATTCGATTTGATCTACCTCTAAGCCAGGCTGTGAAGAAAAGGAAGGCACTTTAGAAGACCTCAGCAGTGTGGTTCTGTGTCTACTTCCATGACCTGTACCTGAGTATCTTAGCCAGCCAGCCTTAGGAACACCACCAAGGTTACTTTGAAATCTATGTATATAGCTAGTTACAGACGGGAGCTATGTGTTTCTTCATTATTTTGCAGCTCCTCGTTGTTCCTGTGATTCCTGAACACCTTTTTGGAAATATGGGTCTCTGTGAGTTTTGAGCACACTACTATCACTTTGGATAGTCACTCCATTTATATTTTTATAAACTTCCATTAGAGAATCATTAAGGCTGTTTAATATCTGCTCTGGATATTACGCATTGGCTTTTTGTTGCCTAGTGCTACAAACCTTCCTGTGGGACTCAGTGTCTTCAGGCAATGATTGTGTATCCTGTTACAGATGGTTGTGATACAAGAAGAACCACTCTTCTTTGAAAATAAACTCTTGGAAGCTTTTGCCAGCTATTTGGGGGGTAGGAGGAATATTAGCAACTGTATTGGTTGTCTACAGATACAGAATTGCCTGTTGTGAGGGAACTGATTGTTTTGTTGGGAAAAGAAATTTACCAGGAGAAAGAGTTTTGTGCTGTATTGTGAGAGATCTCGCCTCTCAGTTAAATGAGCCCTGGGTTAAAGTCAGTGTGAAGGGCAGCTGTGTGCGGGCACGAGCCAGAGTGTCTGCCTCAGACTAGATTTGACTTGAGTTCTTTATGACCCAGGACTCTGGATAATGTGAATTTGCTTTCCTATTTAACTAGAAGATACATGTACTATAGATCATTGTCTCATTTTAGTGATTGTTCCTTAAACTAGTGAAACTAGTGGATTTCTCTTCTTCCTCTTTATTTTCTGCATGTTAAATGTGAACCTTAGTGTATTTGTATTTTGTAGAAAATAATGAAAAATTTTAATGGAGAATGATTTAAAAACATTTACAATACATTATTTTTGCATCTGTGTTGTTGCATTCCCATTGGCTGAGCTTTGGGCTGGGTTTTTGTTTGTTTGTTTTTTGCAGTAAATGGTGTTGAGCATAATTTTTTTCATTTCCCTTAGGGCAGCTTCCTCTTCTGGGTGAATAAGATCAAGCCAAGTTTGGCTGGGGCGGCCTGGGTTCTCCCCTCTGTTCCAGCAAGAGCAGGCAGAGGCCATCCCCTCCTCTTTCTCTGAGGCCCTCTCTGGCAGGACTTGGTATCTGAAAGGGCTTGGACTTGAAGGAACAGCCTGTTCATGTCTGGAGGCAGGATTTGGTTTTGTTCTTCCCTTCTTGTTCAGAAAGCACCAAGATGCAAGTACCTTGTCTTGGGTTTTGACCATTTGCAAGTCATAGAGAGGACTTTCCATAGATTTGACTTTTCTGCCCAAATGGTATGGGAAAAAACTAACCTTTGTGACTAACATATTTGGTGGTGTTTGAAAAAAAACGGCCCTTACAAATGCACTGTTCTGCTATAGGAGATAAATCTACTGGTCATCACACAACATCATGATGAGCATAATGCCTGGTACATAGTGAGGTTTTAATAATTGAAGGATTTGAGAAGAAAACTGCTCTTCTCTGGATGTCACTTAGATATGGATAGAATGGCAACAGCCATATCAGCAGAACCTGCTCCTGTTCCTCTGCCAACAAAAATTCCAGCCATGTGTCTGATTCTTTTTTGCCTTTCAATTTAATTTAGTTCTACAGATTTGAAAAAATGATGTGTTTTATGGAAGGCTATGGGGATACTAGTGGAGAAGACAACAATAAGAAAAGAAGCTGTTAGTCTTATTAAGGAGTCAGGATCAGTACAGATGAAACAGGAAACAGCAGAAAAAAATACCCAGGGGTCAAAAACAAAGGCAGTCTGGGCGCGGTGGCTCAAGCCTGTAATCCCAGCACTTTGGGAGGCCGAGGCAGGCAGATCACCTGAGGTTAGGAGCTCGAGACCAGCCTGACAAACATGGTGAAACCCCATCTCTACTAAAAATTAGCCAGGCGTGGTGGCAGGCGCCTGTAATCCCAGCTACTCAGGAGGCTGAGGCAAGAGAATCGCTTGAACCTAGGAGGCAGAGGTTGCAGTGAGCTGAGATCACGCCATTGCACTCCAGCCTGGGTGACAAGAGTGAAACTCCATAACAAACAAACAAACAAACAAACAAACAGAAACAGTAGGGTTGCGGGTGGTCAGAGAAAAGAGTGGTCAGTATAATCAGAGGACGTTTTTTTGTAGGAAGTAGGACTGAAGCCGAATCCTGAAGCACTGGTGGGATTTGAATAAGAAGATTTGCCTTCCTTTACACATGTTCGTGTCTTCTTAGGATGAGGTACATATTCTCTCTTTTGTCTTTTACATGTGAATTCTGGACATGAATCCTGTCCTATTCAGAGTCTGATCAATGCTAAGAAAAAATGGGAGAAATCTCTCAATGTCCTCCTTCTCCTCTCCCATCACTCTTTCATTGCTTTAAAATAAGTTAATTTACACTGCATTGTGAATTAACAATTGCTGCATTGTTGGCAGCTTTATCCACAGACATCCTTGAATCTTTCCTTTGTGACTAGAGATTACAGACTCAGCTTCAAAAGGCACCTCCCTCATCTCACAGTTGGGAAATCAAATTCTGGAGAGCTGGGAGGACCAGCCCAGAGTTCCACAGCTTGTTGAGGGCAAAGCCTAGCCCACAGGGCAACCACATACTATGAATGGCCACCAGCTCAGGTAGGATCCCCAGAGGCAGGCTCAGTTCAGGCTTAGCTGACATCTGGGAATCCCTAAGGAGCACAAGTGATCAGGGGTCAGGGGTGAATGGAGAGGGAGGGCCCTCAGACTGCAGGAGGCTTTCTATGATGATGATGACCTCTCAAGGCTTCACCAAGTGCCTTGCAAAAGAGAATTCTGTAGGAAAGTAGACGGAATTTACACTGGTCCACTTCACAGTTGGCAGAGCCAAGGTACACTCAGATCAAGTGGGTTTCTGAATTGAGGCTATAGGCTTGGAAAAGAACAGAGATAAGTGGAAACAGAATCTACTTTTCCCTGGAGCCCTTGTGGAATCCTGGAGACTTCTATTTCCTGTTCTGTCCATGCCCTTCCCCATCCCTGAGACTATCCGAAGCATCTATCACTCAAGTTTGTCCTAAAAAACGTTAGCATTTCAACTTGTTGTCAACAGATTTTCCCGCCCTATCTTTGCCCTCTTCCTATTTTTCTCTTCTGTTTTAAATAAGAATTTATTCACAGAATAAGGGATTATTTATAGATGCTAGTATGTACGTGAAACGGAAACCACAAAGTCTGCAGTTGTGGCATAAATTGTGCCTCTGAATTTTGGCTATGTAGTTTTAAGACCAGCATGAGGGAGGAGGAGTTTTCTGGTTATATTTGTGGCTCGAGAGAGTAATTTAAATGCTCAGGCTCAGGTTCTTTATCAGGGACAGGGACTCTTTCACTGAGGGGTTGCATCCCTAACCCCCGCACACATCGTATACAAATGTGTGTGTATGTGAATGTGCATTTTCTGCAAAGGGAGTGCACAGCTTTCATTAGAAATCATGAAATGTAGGGGAAACAGGATCAGTGTTACATACAGACATAGTGGGTATTTTGGGACATTAAAATTTATTTACTGGAAATTTGAGACATCCTACATATTAAGTATATTACACTCATATCAGAATTTTTTAACTCTTTTTTTGTTCTTAATATTATTTTTGACTGACAAATCATAATTGTGTATATCATATTGGGTATCTTGAAGCACTCCCAAATGGCTCCCCTTGCTCAAAAGTAATTCCCTTTCATAATCCCTCTTATAATTCCCTCTTATAAATCCCTGTTATAATTACATTATAAGAACAACTTTCTTTGGTTAAACATTTATATTTAATGTGTCCCTGATAAAAGGCATATACTGTTTGGGACAGATAATGCTTTCACAGGATAAGGTTCAAACAAATATAACTTACTATGTCATACTAAGAATATTTCAACCAGTCTACTTCCACAATGGTCCAGTGGCCATGTGAAAAATTCTAGCATAAACTCATTGATTTGGTGTTTCTACCTTGCTGGAGGACTGCTGGGTGACCCTGAATAGCCAGCTGTATCAGCATGGTTTTTTTCCGTACATCATAAAAGATTTTTGTTTCTCTATGCTCTTTGATATCATTTATTCGGCATCTGTAATAGATGATTGCCTGCATTAGATGTAATCCTCCTGTTGATGGTGAAGAAGCTGAGCCTCCAAGTAGCATGTTCAAAGTCACAGATGGAGGAAGAGAGAGAACCAGGATTTGAGTGACTGATGATCTGTCGCTGGGTCTACACTCTTTCCTCTAAGCCATGTTACATCTTGTACAATATCCACTGCTAACTGAATATTTCCTTTTGAGGATCTGATCCTGGCCAAGGATCAGCTAGAGTTCCAAGTGAAAGAATTTTGCTAAAAGTAGGAAGTTAGCAGAGGAAGAGATACCAAGATGCAGCTGGCTCTTTAGCTGAAGACCATCACCTGGCTGAAGGCTCCACAAACCTGTGACACATGCAAGCTCAAGCCATTGCATTTCTCCTCTTTTGGGAGTCAGCACATTTTACATAGGAAAGTTATTTAGCTTTGGTTAACTTTGAGAAGAAAACAGTAACTAAACATAATGTACCAGGTTCCCTGTCGCTTAGCTGGTCCAAGGGCCTGTCTAGTAAACATAATGTACCTACTGCTTTCTTAAACAAACCTCTTTTAAAACAAACTATTTTAGCATCCCTAAAATTAGGACAGTAGCCGTGAGTTAAATAAAACAGCAAGTGGAAGACACAGGTGTGAATACAGAAATAGTAGAATTTGCTAAATTGCCTTGGTCTCACTTATCCATTTGTGATTTAATATTTTTATGCCATTTTATTGGTGCTTGCTCTTATGCATCAGTAACCAAACACATTTCTGTTAAGTTTCTCTCAAACTATAATCATTTAGGGCAGGTGTCTGCAAACTTTTTTTCCAAAAAGTGCCAAAGTATATTTATTTTGGCTCTTTAGGGCCTATGGTCCATGTCACAATTACTCAACTCTCCCATGGTTGAACAATCATAGATAGTAGGTAAACAAATGAGTGTGGCTGTGTTCCAACAAATCTTTATCTATAAAAACAGGGAGTGGGCTAGATTTGGCCTGGGGGTTATAGTTTGCTGATCCCTGGTTTAGAGGATAGATATAATTTGAGGAACACTAAGGAAAAGATAAGAGAAAGTAAATAATCAGGACACATAGAGGAGTGCTTATCAGAGAAGGTATATATGTGTTAATTTCCTATGTGGACATTTTATTCATATTTTATACATGACATTATTAAATATATACATTTAGTATACATTTAATATATTGCAGAGGGCTTTCTATTTAGCATACTGGGGGAGCACTAAATTGGAAGTCAGTAGGAAATCAGGCTCCAAATTAAGTTTTGCCACTAACTTTAATGTATCATTAGGCAAATTATCCTCTCTGAGCCAAAGAAGGGTAGTGGGATTACGGGATCTCCAAGGATCGTTCTTCTTAACATTGTCTGATGGCATAATTGTCTTATTAAGATTTCTAGGGAGAAATACAAAGTTAAAAATAAAATCATATAGGTTAAAATTATGTAAACATCTGGCCTAGAGCCTCTTGATTCAACTCACATAACTAACCAGACCATGGGGGCCAACAGGTCAAAGGACACTATGTAAAAGACATGACTTAGACACATGGAGTGAGAGGAGCAACACAGGCTCCCATGGGTGGGGACTGAGCTGGAAGGTCACAGTAATGAGTGAACTCCCCCTTGGGCACACTTAGTATGATGAGTAAAGCTTCCTTGTGACTTTAGAGAATGATCATGGGAACACTTTATAAGAAGATCCCAGACAGAAGAGCAGAGCCCCTTGTGGTGTGCATAGCTTTAGGGGAATCAGGGAGCCCCTCCTACCACTATACTCTCCAAACCATGTAGAACCAAAGATGGTTACCTCTTTCTCAAATGGTGTTGTTCAGGATAAATGGTTGATCTTTAGATTTTGGCTTTTGCGTGCTAAGAGGGCTTGTGGTATACAAACCATGCTCTGCAGGGAAAGGGTTGTTGTGGGAGATAAGCTGGAGGGACTTTGTGTCCCATCCCTGCTTCAGGCAGATCCCCCATCCCACCTTTTATTTGTTGGTGCTAAACAAATGCTAGTCCAGCCACTTCACTATAAATGGGAAAACTGAGTCTCAGAAGGGGCCATAAGTGGACGTGGCTGTTGCAGAAAGTGAGAGGAGATTCTGTGAGGCATGAGAAGTTCATATTCATCTTCTGGGGATCGGGCATGCCTGGGGTCTGTAGAAGGCATATGTAGAAGTGAATACTCAGTCTCAGTTCCTCCCAAGGACTCTCTGGGTCTCTCAGCTTTGCAGGGAACATTCTCATAGTACTCTTCAGCAGAGTTCCCTGATGGCCTTGTACAGAGAACCCGATGATTGATGAGGGTATAGCACAGCTCCTCTGAGTAGGTCTGGTCAACATTGTCCTGCTTGTCAAAGAAGAACCATCATCAAGATTTGGTCTCTTGCCATGACCTTTACATTTCAGTCTCAACACAGGCTTGACCCTTGGTCAAGTCTGTCTTCTATGACCACCTCCTCCCCATCTCTTGGCCATTTTTTTCTAAATGGCTGCTTCTACCCCAACCACTAGGCTAGCTGCAAGAGTGCTTAAGGTCTAGAGCCTGCTCAGGTGCATCCTCTGCCCCTTGTTCCAGAGTGACCTCTGACCACCTGATATAGTTTGGATATTCGTCCCCTGCAAATCTAATGTTGAAATTTTGTTCCCATTGTTGGAGGTGGTGCCTAGTGAGAGGTGTTTTGGTTATGGGAGCAGATTTCTCATGAATGGCTTAGTGCCATCCTCGCAGTTATGAGTGTACCGCCTGAAGAACCATGAGCCAAATAAACTTCTTTTCTTTATAAATTACCCAGCTTTGCATATTCCTTTATAGCAACACAAGTGGACTAAGACACTACCCATATAATTCCCAGTCTCATGGCTCTGAGGATAGCCCATTCTAATAAAAAAGAATAATCTGGCTGGGCACGGTGGCTCACACTTGTAATCCCAGCACTTTGGGAGGCCGAAGTGGGTGGATCACCTGAGGTCAGGAGTTCGAGACCAGCCTGGCCAACATGGTGAAACCCCATTTCTACTGAAAATACAAAAATTAGCCAGGTGTGATGGCACACACCTGCAATCCCAGCTACTGGGGAGGCTGAGGCTGAGAATCGCTTGAACCCAGGAGGCGGAGGTTGCAGTGAGCTGAGATCGTGCCATTGCACTCCAGCCTGGGTGACAAGAGCAAAACTCTGTCTCCAAAAAATAAATAAATAAATATAAATAATCTTATGATATCTTAATGTGTTTTGGCTGTGATATTTAATTACCCTCTAGAGATATTTATGTTATTAAATAGGGAAGCGACTCAAGGGAAGGTTTCACTTATGATGGGATATCAGGAGATAAAAAGCAAAGCAGCAAAGTACAGGGGGAAAAGCATGGATTGTGAAGTGAGACTTGGTTTTGAATCCTGGTTCCGCCCCCTTTTAGCTATTTGGCTTTGGGGAATTGTCACTTAATCTCTCAGTTTTCTCATCTATAAAATCGGGGGATGGGATGGATTATAGTAGCAATATTCAAGGGTTGTCGTTTTAGCTACATGAGTTGATGTGTGTAAAGCACTCAGCATGTTGTCTGTCATAAATGAAGTGGTCAGTAAATTTAAGTTCCTTTCAATAAATTATACAGCAGAAGTGGCTGCTGCTTCTGCCACCCGGCCCTGCACCTGCCACCCGAGTTCACAAGCACTGACATCTAAAGTCTTTCTCCATGTAAGGGTCAGAAGGGATCTCAGAGGCCAACTTCTCCTGCCATTTAGGGTGTCTGTACTTCTATCATCATCTCAAAAAATAGCTTAGAGATGTTCTTATTACCTGGATGGGAGTAGATGACATTCTTTCATCTGGAGAAAGAAAATACACTCAATGAATTTCAGGTTATGGGGAGATTTGAAGGGAAGAGCAGGGGAGGCTAGAATATAAATAACTAAAAAGCCAAGAAACAGCTGGGGTAGCTCTTCTCAGGCTATTCTGATCTACAGCACATCCCTGGGGAGTGACAGGACATCTAAACAAGTCACAGCTAGAGCTGTGCTCAGCCTGAGAGGTGAGAGGGGGGAGACACATTTGGTTAGTCTTTGGAAAGGAAATCACGATTTCTTCCTCCAGCTCTCTTTCCCTCCTTACCTAGCCCCGTCTCCTTCCTTACACAAAATTGATTTGTGTTCCTTACACAAATTCAGTGCCTCTGCACCAGGCACTGGGGAGACAAAGGAGAATCAGAAACATTCTCTGTCCTCAAAAGGCTCACAAGCTAGCACAGGAGACAGACAAGGGGCTCTGAGAGATCCACACTGTGGAGCAGAGGGCCGTCGTTTCTACTCTAGGTGACGGGATGGTGGTGGTGTGATAATTGGTGTTCAAGGAGTTTTGCAGAGCAGGAAACTCTTAAGCTAAATATTCCCATTCCTATACCTGCTGGCAGATAACAAATGAGCAGGGCGATTTTTCAAAGCCTAGTTAAAACCAAATGGCTCTGGCCATTCAGCAAAGAGGCAAACTGACACCCTTGCTACCCTCTTGCAAACACACCAATTCCATAAACAAACATGTGCCCTCACATGAAAGTCTACAGAGGAAGCTACCATATGGTATATGGATTGACATTCTCTCGGTCCTCACATCCTGGATTTCCACATCTCCATAAGCTCCTATAGGCATCTAAAACTTCCCTGATTATCATTATAAGAAAAGCATCTTCAGCATAGAGTTTTAGCATCTGGTCTTATTTCTATTACGTTTTGCTCTGATGGAAATTGAGGTTCCCTGGGACCCACGACTCCTGGAGTGAAGTGGCTAGGGTGGGAGGCTGTATTATTCATTTACACATCTTGCAGGGCTAGATTTTAAGATTCTATGTAAATGAATTAGGTTCTCCTCTTTAAGGAAGGAAAAGTCAAAACTCTTCCATTTTTCTTCTTCAGAAACACAATGGCTTGTCCTCAGGCCTACACTTTCTTATTTTTATTTTTAGGTGTGATACAATTCATCACACTCTCCTTCTAGAATTCTTTCTCCTTAACTTCAGTGCTATTCTATCACCAGAGACTACTGCACCAGCCTCGTAAGTGTTCTTCTGGTATCTGCTCTTCCGGCTCCTTGCTGCAATTTGTTTTCTGCACAGGAACCTGGGTGATATCTTTAATACAAATCTAATCATACTTGCCCCCGCCTCCCCACTGTGTAAAGCCAGTATCTCCTGCAGCTGTCAGGACAAAGATGAAAATCTTTAACTTGGCCAGGAGGCCCCACCCCTCCCCTATCCCAGGCTGGCTTTCTTGCAGTTTCTTGTAAGTGCCTTTCTCCTCCACCTTTTGTATCCTTGCCCCCAGTTACTGCCTTCAGCCTCCAGGCCTCAGGCACTAACTGAGGAATTTGGAGATTAATGAGCCAATTCCTGCTTCAATGAGCTCACCATCTACTGAGGACAAAGGACATGCAATTGGATACAGTAAAGCAAAATGTGTAGATATTGTAATTGAAATATGCCTAAGGGGCTTTGGGAACATAGAGAAGAAGTAGTTTGGAAATGTAAGTCTTATCAAAAGTGAAAATACTAGGAAATCAATGACTTACTTTCGTTTTGGGAATCTTGCCTCTTTTCAAAAATGAGTATTTTTTTCCTGTAAAAGAAAAGCAAAGCAAATTGTTTTAATATTCAGAAACTCTCAAAGGAAATGACACAAGCCTACAAAACTTACTTTTAACTCTTTGTTAAAGTTATATACCTTTTATAATACCTCCTTCAGCATAGATGAGTTAAGTAAAAAAGAAAAAAGTAAAAGATGAGGCCAAATAGAAATATATTCCTTTGTGCCTCTTTCTCTCTCTCCTCCTCTCTTTCTTTTCTAAATCTGATAGGGAATTGATTTATAGATGGGGAAATATGGTGATAGAGGTTACTTTTTTGGAGACTTTTTTTCTGACAAAGTATCAATTTCTTTTCTATCATGTGAGTGAAGGAGCCAGGATTATTTTCAATCTCAATTCTAATCTATGATCTCCAAAACAAACAAACAAATAAACACACTCTTCGCATAAGGGAACACTGTAAAAAGACTCCCTGAAAAAATGTGATATAAATATAATGGAAGCCCACTATCGTTTCAGTAGACAAGAACATCTGCTGTGAGGGTAACCCTATGTCCTGGTTTGCCTCAGTCTGGTGAAGGTCATTATCAATCACTTAGCGAGCTTTAACTATTTTTAGCATCCCTTTCACTCTCAAAGGTATCTTAGTTCAGATGATAAATTATACTATCACCCCGACTATAAGTTCTATGTGCAAGGGATAGAAATGTGTGCTTCGGAACATGCAGACTCAGATTTGCAGTGTGAAAAAAACGTATGTTTTCTACGTTAGTAGCTAGTTTCATCTTTGCTTCTGAGGCTTTCCTGTTTGAGGAGAGCATGCGACCCATGAGACTATTGTTCCTGTTTCTCATCAAATTGGAAGGATTGCTTCCCTGATTAACTCTTAGGTGATTGTATCTGGGCTACTGACAGGCTTCCACTGTGGCCACAGACAGTCACAGGTAACTTACAGCAAATACCACATTGAAACCACACTTAGGGAAATAACTCCTAAAAACAACTGTCCACTCACCATGGAAGGCAGAAACACCCTTCAGCGATATGGTGATCCCAGCATCTAAAATACCCAAGAGAGATGGCAAATCATAAGGTTGATTTCTGCAGCTTTGTTAAGGTGACTCCTTTCCTTTTGCCATTTCTGTGGAAAACTTTTTTTCTCCCCGCAAGCGTGTTTCATTCTAGATAACTTGGACACATCTCTCATGGTAGAATGCCTTTGTCTTCCTAGGATGAAGATGATACTATCAAATTCCTAATCAGGAAAAAAGCTTTCTGCTGTGTTCCCAGCAAAGGAAAAATGTTTCCTCACTCTCAATTCTGGTAATTTCCTTGGTTCCCTTGTAATGAAGAACACGTAAGTGTTATCCCCAGGAAATCAAGGTACAAGTGTATGGAAATTTTACAAATCATTTTTTTCAGGTATGGGTTAGGCAATATCAGTATTTTACTATATTCTGAATTTCTCCAATTTACAGTATATTGCAATTGTTTGCTCACTTGTCTATATTCTACACTAGAATGTGAGCTTCACAAAGCTGGGGACCATATTGATCTTGTTCATCGTGGTATGTATTTCCAGTCTATGACACAACATCTGGCACACAGTAAATGGGTTTTCAAAAAATATTTGATGAAGATATGAATACAGAATGAATAGCCAAGGACAGGACAACCCTGGTGCAGGAGGTCAGCAAATCTACCACCTTGACTCCAACGATATAGTTAAATAACAGGACTTCTCTCTCTTATAGCACAAAGGCTTAGAATCTCTCTGCAGTCCTGCATCTACATTAATGTATAAGTATCATTCTGTACATTTTTCTGAATTTGAGGCATAGTCAACTACCTACATGGTTGAATGTGAAAGCCCTTTATAAAGTAGTATCAGTTACAGTATGTAAAAATGTTTGGAAAACACCATCCAAAAATATCTCCCCCCGTGAGCTTTCCCATGAAGTTTCATCAGGAGGAGCAGTGGAGGAGAGGCTGACTGCATCGTGACCTTGGCTGTGATCACCTGCTTGGCTGAGCATTCTGACAACCTCTAAGATCTATGCATCATCAAAGCCTTTGGGGCCCAGAGGCACAGCTGCAGCTCTTCCTCTTCTTTAGGTTACCTTCAATGTGCTTCAGACCGTTTGCTTACATTATCTGCTTTGTTGCTAAGGAAACATCGTAAGAAAACTACTGAATCACACCAAGTTAACAAACCAGATTCACTGAGGAGAAATGAATGAGATAAGAGGAGGGGGATGATTTTGAGAGATATTCTCTGAACTCCTGAGGCCACAGTTTTTAAATCTATAAAAGAGGATGTATATACTGCTTACACATGGAGTTATAAGAATAAGCTGAGGTTAAATATGGGCAAAAACGATCTGTAAGCTGGCTGTTTCTCCTACTTGACTTTTCTGCAGTTTATTCTTGCATTTCAACATGGTGGTTTTGGTTTGGGATGGGTTCAGATAGCCTCCAAGAAGCAAGCTAGACAAATCTCTATACCCTTAGGCTACGTGTCAGGAATTTGAGGTATCTGTCTCTTTCACAATGCCTTCTCTGGCTCTCTGGTCTACCCAACCTCTCCCTTGTTATAATGCCGTGGCCCTTCTGATTTATTTCATCATTTGAACTGTATGCCTTAAAATATGCCCAATGATACCCCTGAAAATATGTAATTCTCAACTTGAACTGAAAAAATTCACCCTGTTGAAAGGAATCTCTGGGTCTCCAGCCCCTAACGCGGGCATTGGTGTTAGAAAATAACAACAGTGCTTGTTTTTTAATTGCTCCTCTTTCAAAATCTCCTCCTGAAACCATGTGAAAAGCACAGATAACTTTACAGGCCACAGAAAAACTGACCTTGTCAGCCCTTAGGATTCTTGGATCCTGGAACATTAGTTCCATATTTTAATTATTCCTTTCCTTAGAGAGAATTCTTTAGGGCTGGACATTTGAAAGGTCTGTTCAAAAAGAATTAATGAGGTGGTCTTTGTTTAACAACATCAGGGCAATCACAATGGTGTCTCCACAAACTTTCTAAAAATTGTCGTAACATGGGGCATGTGGTCACTTCAGAAATAGACACCTATAGCTTAAAATAAAATGGCTAGGGTGGAGGTTGAGCACAAAGGTACCTGAGATAGACAAACAAAATGACAACAGGAAATAAGACCTTTTATTTTATAACAGGGCATAACAGGGACTAGCAGGGTCTTAGTTCCTGTTGCTAGGAGTTACATTAGGCTTCTAGCAAAGTAGCATATCTCCTGTCCAAAGTTTTCAAGCATTTTATCTTTTGTCCTGTCTTCACATTTGTTACTATTGCAACTGCTACTGGTCTAAACAGGGCCCTCTCTCACTGGGATGTGAAGTCCAGGGCTTGACATACTTCGTTCTCCTTGGGCAAGGTCTGGGGGGTGTTTGGTTGATTTTGCTCTCACCTGGATGTTCTCTGTTTGGGGCTTTGCATTCTCACATTCCAAGGCATCTCTTGAGTGTTCTGCTGCCGCCTGAAACTCAACATATCAGAAACAGGCTAAGTATTTCCTAAACAGGCCTGTCACTTCTTTTCATAATTTTTCCGACTTTCCTCATTTCTGCTATTTGTGTGTAACTCAGAAATTGACTGGTTGCCCTCACACATGTTAATACTGTTTCCTCAAGCACATGTCGCAAGCTACCTTTGATCTGACATGCTCTCCATTGCCACAGCAACAGCCCACTGATGTTCTCCAACCTCCATGAACAAGTGATCCTAAATCATCTGATCCCAAATATCCAGGGATCCTCGTCATGACCCTTGAGAGTATCCGTGTCCAGAGAGAGGCCTGAGGTCCTCAGCTACCATCTCTTTGGTGCAGTTCCAGGAGCTATGCACAAGTAATGGGGAAAGGTACTGGCTTTGTCTTGTGTAAATCACACCATCTTTCACAGAAAGCATGGAGGCCCAGAACAAGGGACAGAAGGAGAAGAAAAGGATTGAATAAAGAAAATAAATTGGTTCATTGTTTGGGTTAGATTTCTGTATACCCATCTTCCCACTTGTTGGGAATTGGGAGTATGAGGATAAAGAAACTAACACTTAAACACTACTTACTATATGCCAATCATTTTGTGTGTTATATTTCATTTAATCCCAGAATAAATCCATAAGATAGATATTATCATTATATTTTTTATACTAATGAGGAAACTGAGGCCCAAAATGCTAGGCAACTGGTCTGAGGATCCACAGCCACTAAGGGGGAAAAGCTGGGTTTGCTGCTGGCAGGTCTCTTCCTCTGAGACTGAGCTCCTCTCATGAAGGGATGAGTGCCATTCTATTCTGTGCAAAATTTCCCTGACTTCTTAGCTTATTTGATCTGGAGAGACACGGTTGGGGGGGTATGCTGACTAGATGATAACTGGGTGTTGGGGTGACAATGAAAATTAGATACCAATATATACAAGACTTTTGAATACGTTAACGGAAACATTTTATTTAATTATTTTAATGAATTTATTTTTAAGACTGGGTCTTGCTATGTTGTTCAGGCTGCCCTCAAACTCCTGGGCTCAAGCAATCCTCCTGCCTCAGCCTCCTGAGTAGCTGGGACTACAGGTGCATGCCACTGCACTTGGTTCAAGGGAGACCTTTTAAATCATCATAGAAATAAAGATGTTGGGCAAACTGATCAACTATTTGGAAAAAAATTTACATCTGACACCATATATTGAATATATGTTGCCAAATGTAAAATAACAAAATCAAAACTTATGTGAGTTGATTTGTCTTATCTTAGGAAGAGCAAAGAATTTTAAGCATGAATGCAATGGCAGAAACCAAAAAGCTTTCTAGATTTAAAATCGAATTTTCTTTAAAATAAATAAAAAACCATAAGAAGTCCAAATAGCATAAGATGTGTGCACCTTGGAAAAAGGTTTTTTTTCTTACATAAAACAAAATTTTAAAGTAAAAAAATTTTTTTAAAGTTTTTTTGCACTTATTCAGTGCACGTGATATGCCAGAAACAATGCCAGGAACCAGGAATTCAAAGATAAATAAGAAACAATCACTACATTTGAGCATCTCATATCTAGTAATAAAAATAGTAATTTATATAATTGTTAGAACAATGCTAGAGTAGAAGATTGACAAGGGGCTGTGACAACCCAGGGTAGAGAAGTCTCAGACAACATGATTCTTAGGAAGGGACATGAGATATTCCACAGGACCACCAATCCTCTTTTCGGCAAGTGGTCAAAAGTGGGCTACCATTTTTTCCTGTGTTCCACTCTCCAGTAGCATGAACTGAGACCAGGGATTCCAAACATAACCCTGTGAAGACCCCCTCTGGCTCGCTTACTCTCTCTAGATCACCCCACTTTATACCCTAGAGATTACCTTGTCTGTGGTGGCACTATTTTGGTGGCACGGCTTTGATATTAAGGAAGATGATGGTCAGAAAAAGAAAGCAGAAAATATCTTCTAATTTTGAACCCTACTTTATGTCAGGCACTATGCTAGCACAATACACACTAGAACTCTCTAAGGTAGATATTGTATTATTATTTCTACTTAAAATAAAGAGGCTGAGGTCCAGAAAGTAAATCTGAGTTCTGTGCCTATTTAATCTAGATGACCTCTGCTTACCTGCTTGCAGGGAGTGCACATCAAAGGAAGACTCAAGGTGGCAGGAAGCTTGCTGTTTATTTCAAACTTAAAATAGTGGCTGAAAGAGGGTGGTGATTTTGACCTCCTTGTGGAGCATGAGGAGCTCAGGAGAGCATCTCCTTCCCGGGCTTTCAGAAAGTTGTTTCATTTCTTAGGTGGTAACCTATTATATAGACCTTCCTTGGTAAAGTCTTTCCACCTTTCAGCTATTCTCCATCAGCTGCTCACCATGATTCTTGGGAGAAGGCAAAACCTATGGGAAATTTAATGTGGTATCTGGCACAGAGTAGGCACTGAAGGCTTGGCAGTTTCCTTACCCAACTACTTTCTACCCCAACTTAGTGTGCTAACTGTATACTAGCTTTCTTTTTCTCTTCCTTGCTGTATTGTCCTGTCCCATCTCCTCTGCTCTCCCACAGGGAGTCTAGACTTACCTGTTTTCTCTCAGCAGAGAATTTCCCATCCTCTCAGTCCTCTCAGGGCTTCCCCTCCGTCCCTTTACCACTTCCTTCTTGCCTTGTGCTCTGACAGGGCAACTCCTGACTTAAAGAAAGGGCTGTGTGGCTCTGGCCACCCGTGCAGAGACAGCAGAAAGGAGAAGGGTGTCTCTGCAGAGGGAAGGAAGAGGCTGGGGGAGGAGTGTTAGAGGCACGCATGTGCAGAATGTCCTAACATGTCAGTGCCTGAACCAACCTGGCTGTTGGCCATAACCAGCAACTACCCGTCAATGAGAGCTTCGAACCTCTGGGGAATCCCAGGTCTGAAATTACAGATGGGCCATGGGAGTTTTTCCACTACAGATATTTACGTTTATAAATCACGTTGTCTTCTTAGAAAAGTCAGAAGGAGGTTAAAACAGTCAAGCCACAGACCTGTAGAAAATATAGTATCAACAACTCTCAAATCTGAAAACAAACACCCAGTAACAAAATGGGCAAAATATTTGAACAGACATTTCACCAAAGGAACTATACAGATGAACATTAAAAGATGCTAAACATTGTAGTTATTAGGGAAGTGTAAATCAAATCCACAATGGAACACTTTTACATACTTATTACAATGGCTATAAAACCCTGACAATATCAAGTATGGCAAGGTATGCAAAGCAACTGGAAGTCTCATGCATTGCTGATGAGAATGCAAAATGACAGCCTTTTTGGAAAGAAGTGATAAGGACAGAAGGCAGGGCTTTACTGGGTAGAAGAGGGTGGTTCACTGGCAAAGGTCCCACCCTCAAGCCTTGAAACCGAAGCCCTAAATGAGAACAGTTATCCCTGTTATCCTGCCCAAATGTTACTCTTTAGCCTGTCCAGCCCCCCTATCCCGTGCCCATATAAACCCCAGACCTCAGCTGGCAGACAGACAAGCGGCTGAACATCAAGAGGAGAAGAAGCAACTGAGTGTCAGAGATGTGGCTTAACTTCAGGTGGCATGACTTCAGGGAGGAGCCCGGCCAGAGACAGCAGACTTCAGGGAAAGGTCACTTTCTTCCTGCACCATCCCCTTTGCAGCTCCCCTTCCACTGAGAGCCACTTCCACCATTTAATAAAATCGTCCACATCCATCAACTTTCAAACCATTCATGCAACCTGATTCTTCCTGGATGCTGAACAAGAACCTGGGTACCAACAGGGCAGGGTGTAAAAGGCTGCCACCCTGACTCTCCATTGAGTGGGTTAACACTTAGCTGTCCACGGATGGCAACTGCTAAAAGAGCATGAATTGTAACACATCCCTAAATGCTGCTGTTGGGCTGGAGCCCAAAAGTGCTCATCGAAGCCCTGGCACCCGCTTGCCTGCGTGCTCCCGCTCCCACAGAGAGTTTGAGCATGGTGGTGGCCAAGTAAGTAGGCCACACCCCTGTCGCAAGTCCCGAGAAGGGGTCAAGGGAACTCTCCCATCTCAGAAGTATGGCAATTTCTTATAAAATTGAACATAGGGTTACTGTACAACCTGGCAATTTCACTCCTAGGCATTTAGCCAAGTGAAACTTATGTCCTCTAAGACTGTGTGTACAAATTTTTATATGTGCTTTACTCATAATAGCCGAAATACCCTGGAAATAGCCCAACTGATCTTCATTGAGTGAATTGCTAAATAAGCTCTGTGTTATATTACATCCACACAACAGAATCCTGACCATCATTGAAAAGGAGTGGACTATTAATACATGCAATAACTTGGATCAATCTCAAATGCATTACACTAAGTGAAAGAGACCAGACTTAAAGCCTACCTTCTGTGACATTAGAGATAAGGTGAAACCACAGGAACAGAAAACATATTAGTGTTGCCAGGAGCAAAAGGTGGGGGAGGTGTTGACTTTCAAAGCACAGGAGGAAATTTTTTGTTGTTGTTCTTTATCTTGATTGTGTTAGTGCCCACATGACTGTATGCATTTCTCATAATTCACAGAACTGTATACTAATAAGGGTGCACTTCACTGCACATAAATGAATCTCAACAGACAAAAGGTTAAAAAAGAAAGAAATCTCGGGACAGGAATCATGGATTTTTGTATTATCCTTGTATTTGATGGTTGTTTCCAGTTTGGTCACTCATCTGTTTGTTCATTCCTTTAACAAGTATGTGTCGAGTGCCTACTATGTGCTGGGCACTGTAGGTTCAATGGTAAGAAAAGCAGATACAGGACTGCTCTTGTGAAGTTCCTTGAAAGAAATAAAACAAAGTGCAAAATATTTTATTGCTTGTCCTTGAGTAATGTAAAGGTCATATCTAAAACAGGCAGGAGAAGGATGGGGAGTGGGCTTAGAAGAAACAATTTCAGAGAAACTAGGGTACTAGCTGTGCAACCCCAGATTCATCTCACATCATTCTTATCCTTATGGCTGCTCTCCAAACTTCCTTTTGGCTCTGTGAGGGATTTCCAGGAGCACCTTATTAAAAATGGAAGATTTTATTATAAAAGATAAGCCATTATTGATCATTCACTTTTCTAAAAAAACACAAATGTGAGAATAAAATAAAAACACACAAGACTCACTAGCCCCTGCAAGACAGAAAGCAGCCCTGGACAGAGAGCCTCCTTATTATATACCTAATGCCTGAACTCACACATTCTAGGGTTTCATGTTTTGTTACCTCTTGCAAAGGATAGGAAACTGGCTAGAAAATTCATGTAAAGGAAGGTCACAACTTTAAAGCTATCTGACGCTAATGACTTGTATAATCTAGTTTGCAGCTCTGAGAGACAATATCAAATAAGCATTGTCAAATACTACTCCCACCTAACCTTTGCTGTCATTGTTCTTTGAAATTATCTTTGGGATTGGTTATGTTCTCTCACTGTAGCTTTCGTTTATCTCAGAGCACACACCCTAATGTCCATGTGCAGTCTCCATGCTCAAGTATTCCAGAATACAATTTTCTGGAGTCTAACTTCAGTTGACACCTGACTCCAAATTGCAAATCTACCTCCAACCAAAAAGAAATGAGAAATTAGTTTTTAAGGGCAATTAGCAAATATATTACAAAAATAATTTCAGATAAACGCTATGTGACAAATGGTGCTGTCAAGTCCTCTTATGTGAATACTAGTCATTGTTTGTCTTGAGAAAATGTGTGCAGTGGAGGATATCTTCTTGGCATATAAAAGGGGAAGATTTCTTTCTGTTTTAGTAATCTCTTTAGGGGATTGCCTGTGGTGTGCATTACATTCTGGTTGAATATTCAGAAATAAAAGTGTTTTCTTTCTCTTCTATTTTTGTGGTGAGGTTTTCTGAAATAGCAGGAGATTTTGCTTTTAATTCTATTTCCCCAATAGTAGCTCCATTAATTTTTTTCATGAATCCCTCATGTAATTGACTCTAGGAAAGATGTTAGGGTGGTAAATTTTCTTATTCTGTAAATATTTGAAATTCAGGAAAACCCTCCCATCAATAAATTAAATGAAGCATTGAAGTAAAAAAGAATATTCTTAACAAAGCTTATATTGAAAATCAGGTTTCCACAGCATATAGATCTAAGAAACCTGGGGGTACCCTTGTCTGTTTCTCCTATTCTCCTCTTTCAAAACCATTTCCTTTCCCAGGCTGGATAATTACAATAAAAAATAGAGTATGTGTTCCAAATTATTGAATGCTTCTTCCTTGTGTATGGAAAATCTGGGATGACAACCAGTGGTCTGCCATTTTGTGTACGAGAAAAAGAGGTATGTATGTGTGGGAGTCGGAAGGAATCTTGGTATACTATTATAACTAACCTCTCTCTTCCCTATTACCTTCAGAAAAAAAGAAAAACAATCAATCTAACCTAAAAGTGCCCCTTCCTCAGTGGCCTCAGCACATTTTGCACTACCTAGAGGCTAGCAGCAGGGGACCAGAATGTCTTAGCATTGTGAAAGAGAGACCACATGGACAGGGTGCTTAGCCAGTGAGTAGGGCTATTGTTGACTTCCCACCAGTATGAATGAACAGATCCTAGACCCTAGTTGGGGCAGCCTGAGCAGACACAGCCTGGATGCTGCTCCATGTGTGGCTTAATTAGTTCCACTATTGTCTAAAAGAGTCTTTGAGTCCAGAGAGCCATGGTAGGGTGAGTTGGAAATCAATCTGCCCATTGTAATTTAGGGGAAGGTTAGGAATTGCTTTCAAGCTTCTGTTTTACTCAGGCCGCTAGATGGAGAAGCTGAGCTGTGGAAGTGTTAGCTATCAATCACTTGTGTAAAGTAGCATGAAAGAGCAGGATATTTATAATAGATTTACTGCTGTAAAACTGACTCTGGACTATAAATAATATATCTCCTCTCCGTAAATGAGTAGAGCAACACACCCCCACACAAAGAAGCCCAGATAACAAATCTTTGAATCATAGATTCACTCTTTATTCTTCTCAGTGTTTAACTCCAGTGCCTAACACGTGTAAGAAACTACATTTCTAACACATGTAAGAAACCGTATGTGTTGAATTGGAAATAAAAGCCTGGATATTTGTAAGCAGATGATAGGGAAATCAGAGAACGTTTGGGTTGAGATCTTTAAATTTACTTTCCTATCCTTTGGCATTGCTGTAAAGAATTAATGACCAATGACTGTTTTGCTATATCCTTTGAAGATCATAGAAAAGTATAATTACAATAAGTATTTGTTGAGAGCTTTCTAATAATCCAGTAATTCTGTTAAATGCTTTAGATACAATTTCTAATTTCTTCATGTAAGAATTCTGTGGAATAAATACCATTTCCTCTTTGTTGTAGATGAGAACACCAGGCTCAAGTGACTTGCTCAAGGATATCCCAATAGGAAGTGACAGAGCTAAGATATAAGTTCAAACGGGGTGTGGATATATCTATTTGTTGTCCTATTTAATAAGTACTCATAGAAAGACGTCTTAGCTTGACTTTGAAACCTGGTCTACATCACTCCAATGTGTCAATAAGGAGCAGTATATTTGCATGTAGTGTGTCAAGGCTTCCCAGTTCTTACGCAGTTTTCACAATCTGGGCTGGCCTCAGCACAAGGCACGTTAGAGACCTTTAGGGTAAGAGTGAGTGATAAGAGTGATTCTAGATACTCCTGCAGTTTCAAAGGCCTAGATGGGATAATTCTAGCCCTAGCCCTAGCCCAAGCCCAGTCACTTTCTGGCAATGGTGAAATGAGGGAAGGGAATTAGGAGAACTAATTATACAGAAAGAAAATTATTTTGGGGCATTTTATTTTGGGAAAAGAAGTGGTTTATTTAAGATTTCTTACAGAACCAGGAGTCAAATAGCTTAGTTAAGACTTCCCTATTCTGCTTCCCTTTAAAAGAGGGCAAAGGCTGCATGGTGAGAGAGTACTGAGGAATCTTCCTGAATAGAACTTTCTACCTATATACTTTGTGATACAGAATATGAGCTGATTAGTGGTCCTAGCTAATGTCAGATAGTTGTGTGTTTGAAAACTGTAACTATTAATTGCTGCTATTCCATATAAAAAATATTTTGTTTTAAAGAGGAGATAACAGAGTTTCAGTAACTCTCTAGGTGAACGTTGGGGTTAGACTTTTGCTTTGTGGTGAAGAGATTTCAGCACATAGCTCCATTGGCTTTGCAGGAGCCATGGTAATCCAGAGATGATTGCCTAGAAACAGAATGGGAACTTTTTCAGTTCACTGGGAATGCTCTCCTAGCTGTAACCACCAGGAGGGTGGGACAGCACTTCTCTGAGAATAAATGACCCTTGGGAAGAATGTTTCTTCATTTGCAAAGTTTCCTGTTTTTCATTAGTAAAACTAATATAGAACATGGAAGATAAGTCAAATATCTGCAGAAAAAGTACAAACCAGGTTTAAGCATTATAAAAGTTAAAGAATAAAGCTAAATTACAAAAATATTCAAGGGTCAACAGACCAAGGAAAGCCTTTTATATAAAAATTTTAAAAGCAGACAATATTCTGGGCATTGTAAGCAAATAAACAGCTTTCCTCTGAAGAGCCAAATGAAAGTGAGCTCTAAGAACCTTCCTCAGCCAAAGTCTGTACATTACATTCTTTCAGGTAAAAACAGAGCCCTAGGCACACAACCCACCATGCCCTGAAGATGAGGCTGGTTATATACATCATGCATGGTACCAGGATTTTATATTCCAGTGTCTTGTGTAGTGGCCTTTTCCCACAGGGAGATGTTTACAATCCAGTACACAAACCTAGTCCATGACATTGACAATAACTAATATAATGGAGTGTATGCAATACTTCTTCAATGGCTTAAATTTCCATGATAAAATCTAAATAACTTAAAAAGCATTACACTGATTGTGCTTGGAGGATTTAAATCCATGTCATCATGCCTAGCTGTGTGACTTTGAGCAATTTATTTGTGTGCTCTAAGCCCCATTACTTCCTTGGCAAAATGGGACTAATGATGGTAAGTACCTCCCAAAATTCATATGATGACTGCATAAGCTAATGAGGGAAAAGCACTCAGAATAGCGTATCAGAAGACACATTAGGCTCTCTGTAAGTAACATTAGGCTCTCTGTAAGTAACAGCTACTGTTGGTGGAGAACACTTCTTCCCTCTCTAGGTCCTTGCTCTAGATCAAGGGCTGAAATCTCCATTGCCTTTATATTGCTGCCCATCTTCATTTTCTCATTTGTTCTACTGAAGTGCGGTGGTTTATTTGGTTGATGTATTTGGAAGTAGAGCCTGGACATTCTGTGTTAATCCCCTTCTTCTTGATACTTTTTGGAGTAAATTTACTCTTAGAAATCTTGCATTTTCTACTGTTCTCAGCTATGCATTAAGCTTAATGACAAATGCCTACAGCAGTCAATCTTTTCAGTTCTAGGGAAAAGAAGGCAACCACCTTATCTAATGTCAGCTCCATCAGTAATAATGGTGAGCTTGTGAATGTTTTAATCTCTATCTGCTTTAACCCTTTATCATAATTTTCAGTTGGTTCAGAACTCAGGAGAGGAGGGGTACTCATTAATGGGGTTCCTTAAACACTTAACAGCTGTCAGGTAATTATCACTGGGAAAAAACTGGTTAAGGTTAGTTTTGGAGAGAAGTGGTAGCAGTTTGATTTGACTTTGTCAACAGAAACAAACCAAGTTGTCTTTTCCACAAGGACACTTTTGTGACAGGAGTTGCCATACTTGGCTTCTAAAATGTGCCCACCACCAGTTATTTGGCATAGCATTCAGATTTCTAGACCCCCAGGTGGAAGTCTGACTCTGAAGACTTATCTTTAAATATATATTTTTTTTTTTTTGGAGATGGAGTCTTGCTCTTTCACCCGGGCCAGACTGCAGTGGTGCTATCTCAGCTCACTGCAAGCTAAATTTTTATTAATTCTTCAGATATCTATTTAGGGCTTACCATATTAGGGGGATATGTGTTATAACTTGTTTTCAAATCTCTGCTCTGCCTCTTCCTAGTTGTAAGATTTTCAGTTTACTCATTCATAAATTGGGAATAATTGTACTTACCTTATATGATTGTTACAAAATGAGTTCATCATAACTGTATGGCATGTGTTGTATGCCTAACATACAGAAAGCATGCACTAATTCTTCACTGTTAAGACTATTATCTAAAATTACATACTAGGCATTGTGCTTGTTGCTGTGAGTATAATGGTGAATAAAGTGATTACTGAAAGTTTCACTCAGGGCTAAGTTGCCTGATTCAGTCTGAATCAGTTTTCATTCCTCACTATTATAATTCTCTGAGAGCTACCGAGATGAGTGAAGTACAATGAGTGACAAAAATCAATACTTGGATCAAGAACAGCATTTAAACTATATTTTAATACATTTTATTTTTCATAAAGTGAACCAAACCATTATTGCTGTAAGAGCAATATGCAAAATATCTAGATGGCTATAAACTTATTTTCTGGCTTTAAGACTAAAATTTACTCTAAGATTTTCTAAAATGTTTTGTATATTTAAAATAACAAATATTTTAAATCAAGGAAATTTTGCAAAAAGTATATATGTTGAACTGCTGGTTTCAAGGTCCAAATTTCTTTTCTGCTTAGCACCAAGATCATCCACACAGGATCCAACCTGAAGTTACTCCTTCTTGATGTAGGGAAGTGTGTTTCTGCAGCAGGAGGCCTCTCATAGCCACAGCATTAATACATGCTTCGGTCTTCTTAACAGTCTTACTCTTTCCTAATAGAAGCGGAAAGAAAAAACAAAAACATAGAGGGCTTTTGAATCTTTCAATATTGACTTACAACCCAGAATAGGATGTACTAGAGGGTCAATTTGACTCCCATAAGACACACTTGGTCATTTTTGTTAAGGCCAAGGAAGGAAATTGAGCAAGTGAGTGTGAATCCCTTGTCACTCATAGAGTGGTGGCAGAATGATTTAACCTAGGAGTCAGAGTCTGAGAAGCCACTGAAGCGTGCTAAAATGAACAGGCATAGTTTATGGATTGTCAGGAGGAGGATTGTCCATTGTGAGAAGCATTGACTTAATCCATTACCACTCATTGAGCTTCAGTTCTGACTATAAAAACCCCCTTCATCAAACCAGTATTGCTGAACGTAAAGGGTGTTAAGAAGAAATAAATAACTTTCACATAATTTATATTTCAATAATGTTTAATAGTTTCATAATCATGCTTTTTATTATAAAATCAATAGAACTGCATAAAATAAGAGAAGTGATCAAAACCACTCCTATTCTCATCCTTCTAATTCCATAATTAAATAACTTGTATTGATCTTTTCTAGACCCTTTTCATGTTGAAAGATGTATATATATTGTATGTTGCATATTTTGCCTTCCTCTTCATATTTTACATTGATCTATACAACCAACCCTTTTAATGGTTGCACAATATTTCCTCATATGGATGTTCTGTAGACAATCTCGTTGTTAGACACTTGGGCTCTTTCGTCATTAGAAGTAGTAGTGCCTTGGACGTTTTGTACACATTTACTGTAAGAATAATTTACTTTGGATTAATCCCTAGAAGCATAATCACTAATTCAAAGTGTGTGAGCATTCTTATAACTTTGTTACAAGTTGTTTTTACTCTTCTACCAGCAAAATATGAGAAAACCAATATCCCTCAGTTTTCATCTATTTCCTCTTCTGTTTCAAAGGAAATAGATGTTACCAATGAATAAAAAAGTTGTCAATTAAAAAAGCAAATGTTAATAATTTTTTTTAAATTCTGCATTTCTTAGATTACTATTTTCTCCATTGTTAGGTATTGTCTTTTACTTGAATTGCTTATTCATAAGTTTGCCTGTTGAAATTACAGTGTTTTCCTAATCATGTTGTACACATTAGTCCAAAGTAAAGATATTGATCTTATTGTAAGCAATTAATTCTTTTTTTGGACCATTCTTGAACTGCTTTTATTATTATAGGATTATATAAGAAACTGCTGACTTGGGTGTCCTCCTGCCAAGAAGATTATCAATCTCCAGCACCTCCTTGTATTTCCTTCTGCTTTCTATGACAGTATTACTTTTTTGAGGTAAAAGAGATCAATGCATTAAACATTACCTAAATCATTCTGACTTAAATTCAATATACAAAAAAGAGAATATCTTCTGATAATATATGAAAGTATTCTTTGGGCAATAATAAAAAAAAATCCTTTTCTTTCCAATTTTTATTTTAGATTCCAGGGATACATGTGCAAGTTTGTTACCTGGGTATATTGCGTGATGCTGGGCTTAGGATTCAAATGATTCCATCACCCAGGTACTGAGCATAGTACCCAGTAGTTAGTTTTTCAACCCTTGACCCCTCCCTCCCTGCCCTCTGTAGAAATCCCCAGGGTCTAATGTTGCCATCTTTATATCCATGAGTACCCAATGTTTAGTTCCCACTTACAGGTGAGAACATGCAATATTTGGTTTTCTTTTCTTGTGTTAATTTGCTTAGGATAATGGGTTTCAGCTGCATCCATATTGCTGCAAAGGACAGGATTTGGGTCTTTTTTATGGCTGTATAGTATTTCATGGCATATATGTACCACATTTTCTTTATTCAACCCACCACTGATGAGCACCTAGGTTGATTCCATGTCTTTGCTATTTATTGTAAGTGGTGCTACGATGAACATGCAAGTGCATGTGTCTTTTTGGTAGAATAATTTGTGTATATATATATATATATCTCCAGTAATGCCATTGCTGCATCAAATGGTAGTTCTGTTTTAAGTTCTTTGAGAAATCTCCAAACTACTGTTCATAGTGGCTGAACTAGTTTACATTCCCACCAACAGTGTATACATGTTTCCTTTTCTCTGCAGCTTCATCATATCTGTTGTTTTTGTCTTTTTAGTAAGAGTCATTCTGAATGGTGTGAGGTAGTATCTCATTGTGGTTTTGATTTGCATTTCTCTAATGATTAGTCATGATGAGCACTTTTTCATGTTTGCTGGCTGCTTGTACGTCTTCATTTGAGAAGTGTCTGTCTATGTCTTTCATGCATTTTTAATGGGGTTGTTTTTTGCTTGTTCAATTGTTTAAGTTCTTTATGGATTCTGGAAATTAGGCCTTTGTTGGATGCACAGTTTGGGAATATTTTCTCCCATACTGTAGGTTGTCTGTTTATTCTATTGATAGTTTCTTCTGCTGTGCAGAAGCTCTTTAGTTTAATTAGGTCCTACTTGTCAGTTTCTGTTTTTGTTGCAATTGCTTTTGAAGACTTAGTCATAAATTATTTGCCAAGGCCAGTGTCGAGAATAGTGTTTCCTAGGTTTTCATCTAGGATTCTTATGGTTTGAGGTCTTACATTTAAATCTTTAATCTGTCTTGAGTGAATTTTTGTATATGGTGAAAGGTAGGGGAAAGAATGAAATAGTTTCAGTTTCATTCTTCTGTATATGGCTAGCCAGTTATCCTAGTACCAGTTATTGAATAGGGAGTCCTTTCCCCATTGCTTGTATTGTCAACTTTGTTGAAGATTAGATGGTTGTAAGTGTGGGGCTTTAGTTATAGGTTCTCTATTCTGTTCCATTGGTCTATGTGTCTGTTTTTGTACCAGTACCATGCTGCTTTGATTACTATGCCTTATAGTATTGTGATGCCCTGGCTTTTTTTTTTTTTTTTTTTTTGAGACAGAGTCTCGCACTGTCGCCCGGGCTGGAGTGCAATGGTGTGATCTTGGCTCACTGCAACCTCCGCCTCCTGGGTTCAAGCAATTCTCCTGCCTCAGCCTCTTGAGTAGCTGGGATTACAGGTACCCACCATCAAGCCCAGCTATTTTTTTGTATTTTTAGTAGAGACGGGGTTTCACCATGTTGGCCAGGCTGGTCCCAAACTCCTGACCTTGGCGTCCTAAAGTGCTGGAATTACAGGTGTGAGCCACCACACCCGGCCATTTTTTTTCTAATTCTGTGAAAAATTATATTGGTAATTCAATAAGAATAGTGTTGAATCTGTAGATTGTTTTGGGCAGTATGGCCATTTTAACAATATTGATTCTTCTAATCCACAAGCATGGAATGTTTCTCCATTTGTTTATGTCATCTGTGATTTCTTTCAGCAGTATTTTGTCATTCTCCTTATAGAAATCTTTTACCTCCTTGGTTGCATGTATTCCTAAGGTTTGTGTGTGTGTGTATATATTGTAAATGGGAGTGTGTTCTTGACTTGGCTCTCAGCTTGAACATTGGTGTATGGAAATGCTACTGATTTTTGTACATTGATTCTGCATCCTGAAACTTTGCTGAAGTTGTTTGTCACCTCCAGAAGCCTTTTGGTAGAGTCCTTAGGGTTTTTTAAATATAAAATCATATTGTCTGTAAAGAGAGATAGTTTGACTTCTTTTTCTTTTTTGGATGACTTTATTTCTTTCTTTTGCCTAATTGCTTTGGCTAGCATTTCTAGTATTATGTTGAATAGGAGTAGTGGGAGTGGACATCCTTTTCTTGTTCCAGTTCTCAAAGGGAATGGTTCCAGCTTTTGCCTATTCAGTATGATGTTGGCTGTGGGCTTGTCCCAAAAATAATAGGAGCTTGATGGCTCCTATTATTTTGAGGTGTGTCCCTTCAGTGCCTAGTCTGTTGAGGCTTTTTATCATGAAGGGATGTTGGATCTTATCAAAAGCTTTCTCTATGTCTATGGAGATGATCATATGGTTTTGTTTTTGATTCTGTTTATGTGGTGAACCACAGTTATTGATTTGCTGGATGTTGAACCAGTCTTGCATCCCAGAAATAAAGCCTACTTGATCGTGGTATATTAACTTTCTGATGTGCTGCTGGATTTAATTTGCTAAAATTTTGTTGAGGATTTTCACATCTATGTTGATTGGGAATATTGGCCTGTAGTTGTCTTTTTTCATTGTGTTTTGCCAGGTTTTGATATCAGGGTGATGCTGGCTTTGTAGAATGAGTTAGTGAGGAGTTCCTTCTCATTGATTTTTTGAAATAGTTTCAGTAGAATTAGTACTAGCTCTTCTTTGTATATCTGGTAGAATTTGGCTGTGAATCCACCTGCCCTTGGCTTTTTTTTTTTTTTTTTTTTTTGGTTGGTAGGTTCTTTTTTATGGATTCAATTTTGGAACCTGATATTGGTCTGTTCAGTTTTTCAATTTCTTCCTGATTCAATCTTGGGAGATTGTGTGGTCCCAGAAATTTACCTATTTGATATGGTTTGGCTGTGTTTCCACCCAAATCTCATCTTAAATTCCCACATGTTGTGGGAGAGACCCGAAGGCAGATAAATGAATCGTGGGGGCAAGTCTTTCCTGTGTTGTTCTCATGATAGTGAATAAGTCTCACGAGATCTGATGATTATATAAGGGGGAGTTTCCCTGCCCAAGCTGTCTTCTCTTGTCTGCCACTATATGAGATGTGTCTTTCACCTTCTGCCACGATTGTGAGGCCTCCGCAGCCACGTGGAACTGTAAATCCAGTAAACCTCTTTCTTATGTAAATTGCCCAGTCTCAAGTATGTCTTTATCAGCAGCAGAAAAACGGACTGATACACCATTTCTTCTACATTTTCTAGTTTGTGTATGTAGAGGTGTTCATAACAGTCTCCAAGGATCTTTTGTATTTCTGTGGGATTGGTTATAACGTCACCTTTGTCATTTCTGATTGTGTGTATTTGGAGCTTTCTTTTTTTTTTTAATCTAGCTAGTGATCTACTGATGTTGTTTATCCTTTCAAAAAACCAACTTTATTTCCATTGATTCTTTGTGTGGACTTTTATGTCTTAATTTTGTTCAGTTCTTTTCTGATTTTAGTTATTTCTTTTCTTCTGCTAGCTTTGTAGCTCATTTGTTCTTGTTTTTCTAGTTCCTAAGGGGTGAAATTAGATTGTTAATTTGAGATCTTTCTAACTTTTGAGGTAGGCATTTAGTGTTATAAACTTTATGCTTAACACTGGTTTTGCTGTATCCCAGAGACTTTGGTATGTTGTGTCTCTTTCATTTATTTCAAAGTTGTTTTTGATTTTTGCCTTGATTTAATTGTTTACTCAAACATCATTCAGAAGTCAATTGTTTAATTTCCATGTAATTGTGTGGTTTTGAGAGATCTTCTTGGTATTCATTTCTATTTTTATTCCACTGTTGTCCAAGAATATGGTTGGTATGATTTTGATTCTTTTGAATTGATTGAGACTTGCTTTATGGCTGAGCATGTGGTCAATCTTGGAATATTTTTTGTGTGCGGATGAGAATAATATACATTGTGGTTGATGGGTGGCGTATTCTGTAGATGTCTATTAGGTCCAAGTGTTGAGTTAAAGTCCAGAATTTCTTTGTTACTTTTCTGTCTCAATCTGTCTAATACTATCAGTGGGGAGTTAAAGTCCCTCACTAGTATTGTATGACTATCTAAGCCTTTTCATACACCTAGAAGTATGTGTTTTATGAACCTAGGTGCTCCAATATTGGGTGCATATAAATTTAGGATGATTAAGTCTTCTTTTTACATTGAACCCTTTATCATTACATAATGCATTTCTTTGTCTTTTTTACTGTTTCCTATTTAAAGTCTGTTTTATCTGATATAAAAATAGTGACCCCTGCTCTTTTTTGTTTTCCATTTGCATGGTAGATCTTTCTCCAGCCCTTTACTTTGAGCTCATTGGTGTCATTATGTGTGAGATGCGTTTCTTGAAGGATAGGTCTTGTTTTTTAAATTCAACTTGCCCCTCTATGCCTTTTACGTGGGGGTGTTTACACCATTTACATTCAAGATTCATATTGATATGTAATTTTGATCCTATTGTGAAGTTGTTAGCTGTGTATTGTGCAGTTTCTGTTGTGTTTTTGTTTTATATGGCCTGCAAGGTATGTACATGGGTGAGTTTTTGTGGTAGCAGTTGCCATTCTTTTCTTTCCTTGTTTAGAACTCTCTTAACAGTCTCTTGTAAGGATGGTCTCATGGTAATGAATTCCCTTAGCACTTTCTTGTCTGGAAAGTTAATTTTCCTTTGCTTATAAAGCTTAGTTTGGCAGGATATGAAATTCTTGGTTGGAATTTTCTTTCTTTCAGAAAGATGAATATAGATCCCCAGTCTCTCCTGGCTTGTAAGGTTTCTGGTGAGAAATCTGCTGTTAGCCTCATGGAGTTCCCATTGTATGTTATCTACCCTATTTCGCTGACTTTAAAATTTTTTCTTTGGCACTGACCCTGGACAGTCTGGTGACTATATGTGTTGGGGACGTTCATTTTGTATATTGTCTCTAGGTTTTTGTATCTGGATGTCTACATCTCTAGCAAGATTAAAGAAGTTTTCTTGAATTATTTCCTGAAATATATTCTATAGGTTGTTTGACTTTTCTCCTTCTCTAGGGAATGCCAATAATTCATAAGTTTGATTTCTTTATATAATCCCATATTTCTCAAAGACTTTGCTCATTTTTAAAATTCTTTTAAACTTTATTTCAGGCAGACAGGGTTAGTTCAAAAGAGTGGTCTTCAAGCTCTGAAATTCATTTTTCTCTTTGGTTTAGTCTATTGATAACATTTTCAATTGTATTTTCAATTTTTTTAGGTGAGTTTTCCAATTCCAGAAGCCCTGATTGATTTCTTTTTAAGGTGTTTATCTCTTCTTTCATTTCCTGGATTGTTTTAAGGTTTCTTTGTGTTGATTTCCAGCTTCATCTTGGATCTCATTAAGCTTCCTTATAATCCATGCTTTGACTTCCTTATCTGTATCTCTGAGTTTACATTTTGGTTAGGGACCATTGCTGGAGAGCTAGTGAAATCCTTTAGTGGTGTTACTACATTTAGATTTTTCATGGTGCCAGAATTCTTGCATGGGTTCCTTCTCATCTGGAGACACTGGCACTTCTAATTTTTGTAATTCTTTTCATGTGAGTAGAATTTTCCTTTTTCCCTTTAATAATATTATTATTTGTTTATATTTTATTTTTTCCCTTCCCTTTTCCCCCACTCCCTAGGGGGTATGACCATAGAGAATGCTGTTTTGGCTTTGCTACTGTAGCTCTATGTCTTAATAAAACTTTTGGCAGGTTTTATATTGGGCTGTGCAGTTCATCGTACAAGCCTGTAGATGGTACTTACAGTAAGAGCTGGCTGTAGCCAATGTGTTTAGGTATATACTTGACCCGTGTTTACTGGCAGAAACTATTGTTTTAGGCAATGGGCTAATTCCTAATATGCACAGTGGTCTGAGCTCCCTGCTCAGCCTTGAGGGGATGGGGAGTAGGAGCCAAAAAGGGTGTGTCTTGACTGGGCAGGTCTGTCTGCAGGTCTCTTGATAGCAGGCACAAGCACCAGTGCCAATAGAGAATCCAGTGAGTGTCCACCAGGTACTCACTGGTGTGCCTGGGCATGGAGTTGGGAAACCTTGGCTCTGAGTTCTCTGCACAGGGATGGGGGCAGCCTAAGCTCCTAATCTAGAAGAGTGGGTGCTTCAGATGCCTGAGATCTGCTTGTGTGTGGAGCAGAGATGGCCCCCCTGCACCAAGATCTCTGCACAGGAGGGGTAGGGTGACTCAGGCTGCTGGCCCAAGGAAGCAGGTGCTCTGAATGCTTGGAGATCTGTGTGAGCGTGGAGCAGAGAAGGTCCCCCTGTACCAAAATCTCTGCACAGGAAGTGGGGGGAGCAGTTGGGTCAGGCTGCTGATCCAGTGAGTGCATAGTCTGAATGCCTGGAGATCTGCCTGGTCATGGAGCAGAGAGTCCCACTGCTTCATGATTCTGGAAGGGTGGGGTGGCTCAGGCTGTTGAAACAGGTCAGTGGGTACTCTGAATGCCGGTGATCTGCCTGGGCATGAAGCAGAGAGAGAGTTCCCACACACCAGGATCTCTGCACAGAAAGGATGGGGTGGGTCAGGCTGCTGATCCAGTGAGTGAGTAATCCAAATGCCTGGAGATCTGCCTAAGTGTGGAGTAGAGAGAGCCCTGCTATACCATGATCTATGTGCAGAAAGGATGGGGTGGCTCAGGCTCTTGAACCAGGCAAATGGGTGCCCCAAATGTCTGGAGATCTCCCTGGGCTTGGAGCAGAGAGAGCCCTGCTGCACCACAATCTATGTCTAGGGAGGATGGCATAGCTTAGGCTGCTGAACCAGGTGAATGGGTATTCCAAATGCCTGGAGGTCTGCCTGGGTGTGGAACAGAGAGCCCCACTGTACCATGATCTATGTCCAGAAAGGGTTGCATGGCTCAAGCTGCTGAACAAGGCAAATGGGTGCTCTGAACACCTGAGATCTGCCTGGGTGGGGAGCAGAGGGAGCCCCACTGCACCATGATCTGTGTCCAGGAAGGGTGGGATGGCTTAGGGTGCTGAACAGGGTGAATGAGTGCTCCACATACCTGCATTTCTACCTGGAGGTTGAGCAGAAAGGGCCCCACTGCACCACAATCTCAGGGGAGCAGGGTAAGGCACTCAGCAATGGCACATACAGATAAGTTTGTGGTTGCCAAGCTGGCCCTGGCTGCAAGTCTCACTACCCAGAAGAAATTACAGCTGTAGCAGTTTTCCTCCTACCCCAGACTTGCAATGGGAAAAAGCACAATTCTAGCACCTACTGTTGAGGCACTTCCCACAATTCTGGCAGTGAAGGCTCCTACCCTGCTCCAGAACAGGGTGTTCAATCTCTGGCCTGAGACTAAAATGCCTGTATAGCCATGCTGCTGAGTCACCCAAAAATGACTGACTTTTTATGTGACCGGATTAAAAATGGCATCCTGCTCTCATCCCAGGTCTGGGAAAATGTCTACAGCTTTCTCCAGTGCCTTTCTCCTAAGTTAACTCGAGGGCTAGGGGAGAAACAAAGTGGTCTCTCTTGGCCTGGGTTGCATGGCTCTCCAGTAGAAAGATGAGTCACAAAGGGAAGCTCTCTACTTCTCTCATATACTGGGGCTTCACTCACTTTTATGAGGTAGATACTGTCATGGGAGTGCTGTTTGCCACTGTTCTTCTCTCTGGGATCTGGGGTGTCCCTCATGATTCCAGTGGGATTCCCATCTTCCTTCTTGAATTGTAGCTCACGGAGATAATTTTTATGCACTATCTTGCTACTTCAAAGTGGCTGAGGCACATTGAAAGCCTCTAATCCGCCATTAAATTCATCTTGCAAATACTTTTTTATAGGGTATTTTAAGCTTTTAAATCTACTTTTAAATATGGCCATATTTTAAAATATGGAGGTGGCATGGAAGAAATATATATATATATAAAATATATATATAAAAATACATATATATATATAAATACATATACATATATATATATATATAAATACATATACATATATATATATATATATATTTTTTTTTTTTTTTGAGATGAAGTCTCACTCTGTTGCCCAGGCTGGAGTGCAATGGCGTGATCTCGGCTCACTGCAACCTCCGCCGCCCAGGTTCAAGCGATTCTCCTGCCTCAGCCCCCTGAGTAGCTGGGATTACAGGCATCTGCCACAGCGCCTGGCTAATTTTTGTATTTTTAATAGAGATGGGGTTTCACTACCTTGGTCAGGCTGGTCTTGAACTCCTGACCTCGTGATCCACCTGCCTTGGCCTATCAAAGTGCTGGGATTACAGGCGTGAGCCACCGCGCCCAGCCTGAAGAATTACATTTTTAAAATGGAGATAAACCTATTTATCTGATGGCTTTTATTTTTTAACTTAGTGATATGATTTATGTAACATAAAATCATATAAAGCATACACACACAAATATTTCCCCATAGATACATTTTGAACAGTTAACTGTCGGACTGTCCTCCTCATTGTTCCCCAAAGGTCTTGCTTTCTTTTATCCTCTCTTGTGAATATCCTCTTCCTTTCTTTACAAAGACTTTGCTCATTCTCACAGCCAGCCATTTCTCTCTTGAATTCCTTTAACTTCAGCTGGTGTTATCCACAGTGTATCTTTTATGGTAGTTTAATTGCCTTCTGGTAGGTTTTGTCTTCTTAACTAGAACATAAACACTTGAGAAGTGAAGTCATAACTTATCTTTTTATATCTTCCAACAGTACATGGTAGCCTGAAAAATAACCTGCTAAATTGAGAGCAGCCAGTGTTGCATGTGAGATTAAGTGGCAGTATATAGAGAGGAAACCAGAATATTATGAAGTTTTCAGAAATCTAGATAAAGGAGTATTATTTTGAAGTTAATTCTCTAAATTACAACTTAGAAACACTGTAATTAGAAGAATCATCTGACTAGTGGAAAGAGCTATAATTCACACTATCACATAAAGGGCAAGTAACTTTGGCTTCAGTCTGTATCTCCAGGGACAGATGTGCTCCTGATCCTGTTGAGGAAACCAGAGTGGCTTACCTGACTTTCCTTAGGTTTATTCTAGGGGACTCCTTACAGTTGAACTTTGTCCCCAGCAGGGAGCAAGGCTGGGGACTCCTGGCAGTGGCGGCACTGTGTGCTCCATCCTGGGATTCAAAACACTTTGTTACTTGATGTCATGATAGGCCTTTTGAAGGGGGCCTGCCCCTCCACACCTGTGGGTATTTCTCGCAAGGTGGAGATGAGAGACTGAGAAAAGAAATAAGACACAGAGAAAAAGTATAGAGGAAGAAAAGTGGGCCCAGGGGACCTGCACTCAGCATAGGGAAGACCCGCACCGGCACTGGTCTCTGAGTTCCCTCAGTATTTATTGATCACTATCTCTACCATCTCGGAGAGGGGGATGTGGCAGGACTATAGGGTAATGGTGGGTAAAGGATCAGCAGGAAAACATGTGAGCAAAGGACTTTGTGTCATAAATAAGTTTAAGGAAAGGTGCTGTGCCTCGATGTGCATGTAGGCCAGATTTATGTTTGACTTTACACAAACATCTCGGTGCAGTAAAGAGCAGTATTGCTGCCAGCATGTCTCACCTCCAGCCATGAGGCGATTTTCTCCTATCTCAGAAAATAGAATGTATGATCGGGTTTTACACCGAGACATTCCATTCCCAGGGACGAGCAGGAGACAGATGCCTTCCTCTGATCTCAACTGCAAAGAGGCCTTCCTCTTTCACTAATCCTCCTCAGCACAGACCCTGTATTGGTGTCAGGCTGGGGGACAGTCAGGTCTTTCCCTTCCCATGAGGCCATATCTCAGGCTGTCTCAGTGGGGAGAAACCTTGGACAATACCCAGGCTTTCTTGGGTAGAGGTCTCTGCGGCTTTCCACAGTGCATTGTGTCCCTGGGTACTCGAGACTGGAGAATGGCGATGACTTTTACCAAGCATACTGCCTGCAAACACATTTTTAACAAAGCACATCCTGCACAGCCCTAAATCCATTTAACCTTGAGTCAATACAGCACGTGTTTTTGCAAGCACAGGGTTGGGGCCAGGGTTACAGATTAGCAGCATCTCAAGGCAGAAGAATTTTTCTTAGTACAGATCAAAATGGAGTTTCTTATGTCTTCCTTTTTCTAGATAGACACAATAACAGTCTGATCTATCTTTCTTTCCCCCACACCTTTGGTGGACTTTTTATTATGTAAAGGGAAAGCCACAGTCCTGGGATGGTAATGATGAGGAAAGGGTTTAGGATCCTGGGAAGAGAACTGACTCTAACACAGCCAGGATCTAACTGCAGGGAGAAGAAGCATCTACTAAACAACACAATTTGATGATTTTCTTTATATGTCTTAATAGCTAACATTCCTGTCATTTAACAAACTTTCATTTTCACACTCCTGCTTCATTAACAACCACCATGCCATCATTCTTTTTTAATTGATGGAAAAGCAGCACTGTTTGAGGCTAGGTACATGAAAAACATTAGCTTTCCTTCTTCAATCCCTCCAAATATGCTATTAAGGCAGCATTGTTAAAAAAAAAAAAGATGGTCTTGTCAGTGGGCTCTAGAAGTCATCTAATATTTTATTTTAAATGTCCTCCTCATCTATTTTTCTATTGTTATTTCCCTTTGTTATTCCCTAGCCTTCAGGAGCAGCTGTGTTTGGAAGAATTAGAATAGGTGCATGTATCCATGTTTTTTAGAGAATATGAGAAGAGTCAAAGACGTTTGGAGAAATAGTTTCCTGTATTAAGAAAGGGTGAGCCAAGAATAATGGAAACTGTGTAGGAATTGCTGGTTTGTGCCAAGGACTGTGCAGTGTACTTTTCATTTCTTTGATCTCTACAGAGGTGGGTATTGCTATTATCACTCTTTTATAGATGAAAAAATGATGCTTATGTAGGTTAAAAAATTTGCCGAAGGTCACGTGGCTATTAAGTGGTAGAATCTGAGTCAATTCCAGAAAGTCTCATACCAGAGCCCAGATTCTTGGCCCTTATGCTATTCTGCCATGAATTCCATTCAACAGGCAATAAATAGGAAAGGTTTGAGGAAACTTTTTCCCAAGAAGTCTCCAAAATCCTTTTGGGAGACAGTGAACATCCTTCTTTCATGAGGGATGGACACTTGGGTACTGGAGAACAGTGTTGTCCTCTTAAAAGCCAGGGCACTTGGATGAGGAACATCTTCAACTTATCACAGAACTTATGATCATCTTTTATTCAACATATATTTGTGAGGAGATGTTGGGGACAAAAGGAGTGTCTGTTCTCAGAGGTTTATGTCTAGTGCTAATAGAACAAATAGGCTTAATGGATGTAAAATATGTATTTAACAACTAAATATACAATTTTATGGCTTGTGTATTCATAGCAGACATTTATCAGATTCTGAGTATTATAATCAGCATCTTCTGGAGCAATATAAACAACTTGGCAGAGACTAAAACTAAAAATGAACTCTCCATTCCATCTGGAGTCCATACGATTCAGACACAGGTAGGATGATGTAGATTTGGTGGGGTATTTTCATTATATTTCTCTCTGCTCAGTTTCAGTTCCAGAGTCCTATAGTGTTTCACAGCTTGGAATCCTATTGTGAAGTTGGCTCAAGATTTTGAGGATCTCAAGATCCCCAGGGTCATAGAGGAATATGAAATTGATCAATATTTGTGGGACTTTCTGAATAATTTAGGTTAGCCGGGATATATTTTATTAGAGCATTTATTATTGAGCTCCTTCTTTCTGTCATGCACTGTAAACACAGGGCAAACTGCTTTCAGGCTTAAAGATCCCAAATGCATAGCTGAGGTAGCACTGAAAGAATTAAGGGTCAGTCCAGATTTTGGCATTCCAAGGGGGAGTGGAAAGGGCTTGGGTGTGCTACAACCGTAGCCATCCTGGTAGTGCCTGGTTGCTAATGTGATTCAAGACAGATCTTCTGGCATCCCTTGAACTTCGTTTTTCTTTGTCATTTCTCTAATATTTCCCTAAAAATAAGTATAATTTCCACTGTACCCAGTGCTAAAATAAGTGTTTTACACCAAAATCTACAAAATGACTAGCAGATGAACTTTTTCAGAATAAGAGAAACACATTGGTAGTTTCCATAAATTCTAGACTCTCTTTTACCCAAAATACAACTTTTAGAAAGGCTGCTTTAAATTTACCTCCTTAACATTTCTTTCTTCTTGAATGCCTTCTTCCAATGTTCCAACTGAACCTGATTAAAAAAAAAAAAACAGTGTTAATTCAACCACTGAAGCAAGTGACTATTTCTATTAGTCCAACTATCAGATTAGATCAGATTCAAATCACACTCAGGACCTGTGATCTGAAATTGGTGGTAATCTCATTTGGTTAAAAAAAAGGGTCACATTTAAAAAAGTGATTATAAGTCTTTTATTATGGAGATGATATAATAAATGTGCAAAAAGTTTGGAAAGTAGAGCTACAAAATCATCTATCATTCCAATATCCCAAAATACTTTTATATTAATATGTATTGAGGGCCAGGCATGTTGCTAGCAATGAGGATACATAAGAAAGCAAAAGAATTAAGATCCATGTCTTCTAGGAGTTTTAAGTTAGTAAAACAGACAGACTAGCAAACATACAAAGAAATATGACGTGGTAAAAACAGGACTGTGTGTATGTTGGGCTATTGGAGCATGCAGGAGAGTCACATAGCGCAGTTTTGTGAATTTGGGATGTATCAGTGATGGCTGCTTGGAGAAAAAGCTGAGATTTCAAGGATAAGGAGTTAGCTCCATGAAATGAGGAGATGTGGGGAAGAGGATGTATAGAGAATTTCAGGAAAAATGAACAATATGGGGAAACGCTCAGGAATGGGAGGCCACCAGGTCTTTTATATCAGGTGAACCATTTGTAGTTTGGTATGGCTAGGTTTTAAAGTGTGGGGAGAGGAGGTAGCAGGTGAAAGAGCAGACGGTGAAGGGCCCAAAACCATGCCCTGTATATGCTTAATCATTTTTAAAAGCAGAGAATCAAGGTATTTTATTTTAATTTTTTTGACAATTTAAATATTTTATTGATATATATTAGCTGTACATATTTTGGGGGTACATATAATATTTTGATGCCTGTATACAGTGGGTAAAGATCAAATCAGAATAATTGGGATAACCATCACCTCAAACATTTATCTTTTTTTTGTGTTGGGAAGATTACAATTCTTCTCTTCTGGCTATTTGGAAATATACAATATTTTTTTAACTATGATTACCGTACTATTGAATACTAGAACTTTTCCCCTCTAACTGTATTTTTGTGTACCCCTTAGTCAACTATTCTTCATCATCTCCTTTCCCTTTCCTTCTCAGTCTTTGACAACTATCATGGTACTCTATACTTCTATGAGATCCACTTTTTTAGTGCCCACATATGAATGAGAACATGTCGCATTTGTCTTTCTGTGCCTGGATTATTTAGCTTAAGATAATGACCTCTAGTTTCAAACACATTGCAGCAAATGAGAGAATTTTATTGTTTTTTTAATGGCTAGATAATATTCCATTGTGTATATACACACATACACACATATACACACTGCATTTTCTTTATCCATTTGTTGATGAACACTTATGTTGATTTCATATCTTGGGTGTTATGAACAGTGCTGCAATAAACATGGGAGTGAAGACATCGCTTCAACATACTGATTTTATTTCTTTTGAATATATACCCAGCAGTGGGATTGCTAGATCATATGGTAATTCTCGTTTTAGTTTATTTTTTTTTAAAGAAACACTGTACAGTTTTCCATAATGGCTGTACTACTTTACATCTCCACCAATAGTGTACAGGTGTTCCCCTTTCTTGGTGTATTTGCCAGTATTTTAAATTTTTTGTCTTTTTGACAGTAGTCATTCTAACTAAGGTGAAATGATATCTCATTGTGGTTTTGATTTGCATTTCTCTATTTTTAGTGAAGTTGAGCATTTTTTCGTCTATCTGTTGGTCATTTGCATGTCTTCTTTTGATAAATGTCTCTTCAGATCTTTTGTGTATTTAAAAATCAAGTACTTGTGTTTTTGCTATTGAATTATGTTCCTTATATATTCTGGTTATTAATACCATGTCAGATGAATAGTTTGCCAATATTTTCTGTTATTCTGTAGGTTGTCTCTTCACTTTGTAGACTGTTTCCTTTGTTGTGCAGAAGCTTTTTAGCTTGATATAATCCCACTTGTTTATTTTGGCTTTGGTTGTCTGTTCTTTTGTGGCCTTAGGCAAAAAAATATTCAGGCCAATGTCCTATAGCATTTTCCCAACTTTTTTTTGTAGTTTTACAGTTTTAGGTCTTAAATTTAAGTCTCTAATCCATTTTGAGTTGTTTTTTTCTATATGGTAATAGATGGGAAACTTGTTTCATTCTTCTGCATATGGATGTCCAGTTTTTCTAGCACCAATTATTAAAGAGACTGTCCTTTCCCCAATGTATGTTCTTGGTGCTTTTGTTGAAAACGAGTTGGCTATCAGTGCATGGATTTATTTCTGGGTTCTTTATTCTGCTCCATTGATCTATGTGTCTGTTTTTATGCCAGCACCATGCTATTTTGGTAATTGTAGCTTTGTAGTATAGTTTGAAATCGGGTAATGTGATGCCTCTGGTTTTGTTCTTTTTGCTCAAGACTGCTGTGGCTATTCAGGGTCTTTTGTGGTTCCCTATGGATTTTAGGATTTTTTTTCTATGTCTGTGGAGAATGCTTGTTGGTATTTTGATAGGCCTTGCATTGGATTTATAGATTGCTTTGGGTAGTATAGACCACTTTAACAACATTAATTATTCCAATCTATGAACATGGAATATCTTTTAATTTTTTGTGTGCCTTCTTTGATTTCTTTCAACAGTGTTTTATAGTTTTTCTTGTAGCGATCTTTCACTTCTTAAGTTAAATTTATTCCTAGGTATTTTTTTTTGTAGCTATTGTAAATAGGATTGCTTTCTTCATTTCTTTTTCAGACTGATCACTGTTAGCCTATATAAATGCTACTGACTTTTTGTATGTTGATTTTGTATCCTGCAACTTTGCTGGATTTATCAGTTTTAAGAGTTTTTGGTGTGGAGTCCTTAGGTTTTTCTAAGTATGCTATTATGTCATCTGCAAACGAGAATACTTTGACTTCTTCCTTTCCAAGTTGGATGCCTTTATTTTTTCCCTCGCCTAATTGCTCTGGCTTGGACCACAAGTACTATGTTGAATAGTGATAAAAGTGGACATCCTTGTTTTGCTCCAGATCTTAGTGGAAAAGCTTTTTAAAATTCTTTCCTCTTTAATATGTTATTAGTTGAGGGTTTGCCACATATGTCACATTTATTGTGTTGAGGTATGTTCCTTCTATATTCAATTTGTTGATGATTTTTATTATGAAAGGATGTTGAATTTTATTGAATACTTATTCTGCATTTACTGAAATGATCATAGGGTTTTCATCCTTGATTCTGTTGATGTAATACATCACATTTATTGATTTGCATATGTTGAACCATCTTTGCATCCTTGAGATGAATCCCACTTGAACATGATGAATGACCTTTTTAATGTATTGTTGAATTTGGTTTGCTAGTATTTTGTTGAGGATTTTTGCATCTCTGTTGATCAAGGATATTGGCCTATAGTTTTCTATTTTTCCTGTGTCCTTGTCTGCTTTTGGTATCAGGATGATGCTGGCCTAGTAGAATAAATTTAAAAGTATTTCTTTCTCTTCAATTTTTTGAAATAGTTTAAGTAGAATTGATATTAGTTATTATTTAAATATTCATTACAATTCAGTAGTGAACCCATTAGATCCTGGGTTTTCTTTAATGGGAGACTTTTTATTATGGCTTTGATCTTGTTATGTGTTATGGGTCTGTACAGGTGTTCTATTTCTTCATGTTTCAATTTTGATAGGTTGTATGTGTCCAGGAATTTATCCATTTCTTCTAGGTTTTCCAATTTGTTCGTGTATAATTTTTCATAGTAGTCTATGATGATCCTTTGTATTTCTGTGGTATCGGTTGCAATCTTTACTTTTTAACTTCTGGTTTTATTGATCTGGGGTTTATCTCTTTTTCTTAGTCTAGATAAGGTTTTGTTAATTATCTTTTTTAAAAAAAATATTTTTGCCAACTTTTAAAATCATTATTATTTCCAATTTTATTTATTTCTGCTCATTTATTATTTATTCTCTTCTACTAATTTTGGGTTTGGTTTGTTCTTGCTTTCAAGTTCCCTGAGGTGTGTCATTAGATTTTTTTTTAAGAGTTTCTATTTTGGGGGTGTGGGTATTTATTGCTATAGACTTCCCACTTAGTATTGGTTTTGCTATATCTCATAGGCTCTGGAATTTTGTGTTCCCATTTTCATTTATTTCAATAAATTAAAAAAAATGTTTCCTTTAATTTCTAAATTGACCCATTGGTCATCTAGGTGCAAGTTTTTTTAAATTTCACGTATTTAAAAAAACTTTCATAGTTTCCAAAGTTCCTCCTCTGATTGATTTCTGGTTTTATCCCATTGGGGTCAGTTTCCATAGTTCCTCCTCTGATTGATTTCTAGTTTTATCCCATTGTGGTCATAAAAGATATTTGATATAGTTTTGACTTTTTAAAAATTATTGAGACTTGTTTTGTGGCTTAACATGTGGCCTATCCTGGAGAATATTCCATGTGCTGATAAGAAAAATGTATATTCTGCAGCAGTTGAATGAAATACTCTGTAAATGTCTGTTAGGCTCATTTGGTGTAGGGTCTAGTTTAACTCCAACGTTTGTTTATTTTCTGTCTTCATAATCTGCCCATTGCTGTAACTGGGGTGTTGAAGTCCCCTACTACTATTTTATTGCAGTCCACCTCTCCCTTTAGATCTCTTAATATTTGCTTTACATATCTGGGGACTCTGATGTTTAGCGCATACGTATATTGACAATTGTTATATCCTCTTGTTTAATTGACCCTTTTTTATTATATAATGACCTTTTTTGTTCTTTTTTTGGTAAAGATTTCGATTTAAGGTCCATTTTATCTGATATAAGTTTAGCTATTCTTCCTCTTTTGGTTTCTGTTTGCATGGAATATTTTATACTATCCTCTCATTTTCAGTGTACATGTATTTTTATAGGCAAAGAGTTCTTCTCATAGGCAGCATATAGTTGGGTTTTATTTTTTTAATTTATTAAGCCATGCTTTATCTTTTAATTGGAGAATGTAGTCCATTTACATTCATTGTTACTACTAATAGGTAGGGACTTACTACTGCCATTGTCTTACCTGTTTTCTAGTTGTTTTGTAACTATTCTCTTTCTTTCTTCCTTTCTTACTATCTTCCATTGTGTTTAGTTATTTTTTTCTGGTAGTACGTTTTAAATAAGTTATTTATTTATTTATTTTGTATTTATTTTTTATTTTTATTTATTTATTTTTTAAGTTTTTTTCTTTTATTATTATACTTTAAGTTTTAGGGTACATGTGCACATTGTGCAGGTTAGTTACATATGTGTACATGTGCCATGCTGGTGTGCTGCACCCACTAACTTGTCATCTAGCATTAGGTATATCTCCCAATGCTATCCCTTCCCCCTCCCCCCACCCACAACAGTCCCCAGAGTGTGATGTTCCCCTTCCTGTGTCCATGTGATCTCATTTTTCAATTCCCACTTATGAGTGAGAGTATGCGGTGTTTGGTTTTTTGTTCTTGCGATAGTTTACTGAGAATGATGATTTCCAATTTCATCCATGTCCCCACAAAGGACATGAACTCATCATTTTTTATGGCTGCATAGTATTCCATGGTGTATATGTGCCACATTTCCTTAATCCAGTCTATCATTGTTGGACATTTGGGTTGGTTCCAAGTCTTTGCTATTGTGAATAATGCCGCAATAAACATACGTGTACATGTGTCTTTATAGTAGCATGATTTATAGTCCTTTGGGTATATACCCAGTAATGGGATGGCTGGGTCAAATGGTATTTCTAGTTCTAGATCCCTGAGGAATTGCCACACTGACTTCCACAATGGTTGAACTAGTTTACAGTCCCACCAACAGTGCAAAAGTGTTCCTATTTCTCCACATCCTCCCCAGCACCTGTTGTTTCCTGACTTTTTAATGATTGCCATTCTAACTGGTGTGAGATGGTATCTCATTGTGGTTTTGATTTGCATTTCTCTGATGACCAGTGATGATGAGCATTTTTTCATGTGTTTTTTGGCTGCATAAATTTCTTCTTTTGAGAAGTGTCTGTTCATGTCCTTCACCCACTTTTTGATGGGGTTGTTTGTTTTTCTCTTGTAAATTTGTTTGAGTTCATTGTAGATTCTGGATATTAGCCCTTTGTCAGATGAGTAGGTTGCGAAAATTTTCTCCCATTTTGTAGGTTGCCTGTTCACTCTGATGGTAGTTTCTTTTGCTGTGCGGAAGCTCTTTAGTTTAATTAGATCCCATTTGTCAATTTTGGCTTTTGTTGCAATTGCTTTTTGTGTTTTAGACATGAAGTCCTTGCCCATGCCTATGTCCTGAATGGTAATGCCTAGGTTTTCTTCTAGGGTTTTTATGGTTTTAGGTCTAACGTTTAAGTCTTTAATCCATTGTGAATTGATTTTTGTATAAGGTGTAAGGAAGGGATCCAGTTTCAGCTTTCTACATATGGCTAGCCAGTTTTCCCAGCACCATTTATTAAATAGGGAATCCTTTCCTCATTGCTTATTTTTCTCAGGTTTGTCAAAGATCAGATAGTTGTAGATATGTGGCGTTATTTCTGAGGGCTCTGTTCTGTTCCATTGATCTATATCTCTGTTTTGGTACCAGTACCATGCTGTTTTGGTTACTGCAGCCTTGTAGTATAGTTTGAAGTCAGGTAGCGTGATGCCTCCAGCTTTGTTCTTTTGGCTTAGGATTGACTTGGCGATGCGGGCTCTTTTTTGGTTCCATATGAACTTTAAAGTAGTTTTTCCAATTCTGTGAAGAAAGTCATTGGTAGCTTGATGGGGATGGCATTGAATCTGTAAATTACCTTGGGCAGTATGGCCATTTTCACGATATTGATTCTTCCTACCCATGAGCATGGAATGTTCTTCCATTTGTTTGTATCCTCTTTTATTTCCTTGAGCAGTGGTTTGTAGTTCTCCGTGAAGAGGTCCTTCACGTCCCTTGTAAGCTGGATTCCTAGGTATTTTATTCTCTTTGAAGCACTTGTGAATGGCAGTTCACTCATGATTTGGCTCTCTGTTTGTCTGTTGTTGGTGTATAAGAATGCTTGTGATTTTTGCACATTGATTTTGTATCCTGAGACTTTGCTGAAGTTGCTTATGAGCTTAAGGAGATTTTGGGCTGAGACAATGGGGTTATCTAGATATACAATCATGTCATCTGCAAACAGGGACAATTTGACTTCCTCTTTTCCTAATTGACTACCCTTTATTTCCTTCTCCTGCCTAATTGCCCTGGCCAGAACTTCCAACACTGTGTTGAATAGGAGTGGTGAGAGAGGGCATCCCTGTCTTGTGCCAGTTTTCAAAGGGAATGCTTCCAGTTTTTGCCCATTCAGTATGATATTGGCTGTGGGTTTGTCATAGATAGCTCTTATTATTTTGAAATACGTCCCATCAATACCGAATTTATTGAGAGTTTTTAGCATGAAGGGTTGTTGGATTTTGTTAAAGGCCTTTTCTGCATCTATTGAGATAATCATGTGGTTTTTGTCTTTGGCTCTGTTTATATGCTGGAGTACATTTATTGATTTGCGTATATTGAACCAGCCTTGCATCCCAGGGATGAAGCCCACTTGACCATGGTGGATTATCTTTTTGATGTACTGCTGGATTCATTTTGCCAGTATTTTATTGAGGATTTTTGCATCAATGTTCATCAAGGATATTGGTCTAAAATTCTCTTGTTTGGTTGTGTCTCTGCCCGGCTTTGGTATCAGAATGATGCTGGCCTCATAAAATGAGTTAGGGAGGATTCCCTCTTTTTCTATTGATTGGAATAGTTTCAGAAGGAATGGTACCAGTTCCTCCTTGTACCTCTGGTAGAATTCGGCTGTGAATCCATCTGGTCCTGGACCCTTTTTGGTTGGTAAGCTATTGATTATTGCCACAATTTCAGCTCCTGTTATTGGTCTATTCAGAGATTCAACTTCTTCCTGGTTTAGTCTTGGGAGAGTGTATGTGTCGAGGAATTTATCCATTTCTTCTAGATTTTCTAGTTTATTTGCGTAGAGGTGTTTGTAGTATTCTCTGATGGTAGTTTGTATTTCTGTGGGATCGGTGGTGATATCCCCTTTATCATTTTTTATTGCGTCTATTTGATTCTTCTCTCTTTTTTCTTTATTAGTCTTGCTAGCGGTCTATCTATTTTGTTGATCCTTTCAAAAAACCAGCTCCTGGATTCATTAATTTTTTGAAGGGTTTTTTGTGTCTCTATTTCCTTCAGTTCTGCTCTGATTTTAGTTATTTCTTGCCTTCTGCTAGCTTTTGAATATGTTTGCTCTTGCTTTTCTAGTTCTTTTAATTGTGATGTTAGGGTGTCAATTTTGGATCTTTCCTGCTTTCTCTTGTGGGCATTTAGTGCTATAAATTTCCCTCTACACACTGCTTTGAATGCGTCCCAGAGATTCTGGTATGTTGTCTCTTTGTTCTCGTTGGTTTCAAAGAACATCTTTATTTCTGCCTTCATTTCGTTATGTACCCAGTAGTCATTCAGGAGCAGGTTGTTCAGTTTCCATATAGTTGAGCGGTTTTGAGTGAGATTCTTAATCCTGAGTTCTAGTTTGATTGCACTGTGGTCTGAGAGACAGTTTGTTATAATTTCTGTTCTTTTACATTTGCTGAGGAGAGCTTTACTTCCCAGTATGTGGTCAATTTTGGAATAGGTGTGGTGTGGTGCTGAAAAAAATGTATATTCTGTTGATTTGGGGTGGAGAGTTCTGTAGATGTCTATTAGGTCCTCTTGGTGCAGAGCTGAGTACAATTCCTGGGTATCCTTGTTGACTTTCTGTCTCGTTGATCTGTCTAATGTTGACAGTGGGGTGTTAAAGTCTCCCATTATTAATGTGTGGGAGTCTAAGTCTCTTTGTAGGTCACTCAGGACTTGCTTTATGAATCTGGGTGCACTTGTGTTGGGTGCATATATATTTAGGATAGTTAGCTCTTCTTGTTGAATTTATCCCTTTACCATTATGTAATGGCCTTCTTTGTCTCTTTTGATCTTTGTTGGTTTAAAGTCTGTTTTATCAGAGACTAGGATTGCAACCCCTGCCTTTTTTTGTTTTCCATTTGCTTGGTAGATTTTCCTCCATCCTTTTATTTGGAGCCTATGTGTGTCTCTGCACGTGAGTTGGGTTTCCTGAATACAGCACACTGATGGGTCTTGACTCTTTATACAATTTGCCAGTCTGTGTCTTTTAATTGGAGCACTTAGTCCATTTACATTTAAAGTTAATATTGTTTTGTGTGAATTTGATCCTGTCATTATGATGTTAGCTGGTTATTTTGCTCGTTAGTGGATGCAGTTTCTTCCTAGTCTCGATGGTCTTTACATTTTGGCATGATTTTGCAGCAGCTGGTACCGGTTGTTCCTTTCCATGTTTAGCGCTTCCTTCAGGAGCTCTTTTAGGGCAGGCCTGGTGGTGACAAAATCTCTCAGCATTTGCTTGTCTGTAAAGTATTTTATTTCTCCTTCACTTATGAAGCTTAGTTTGGCTGGATATGAAATTCTGGGTTGAAAATTCTTTTCTTTAAGAATGTTGAATATTGGCCCCCACTCTCTTCTGCCTTGTAGGGTTTCTGCCGAGAGATCCGCTGTTAGTCTGATGGGCTTCCCTTTGAGGGTAACCCGACCTTTCTCTCTGGCTGCCCTTAACATTTTTTCCTTCATTTCAACTTCGGTGAATCTGACAATTATGTGTCTTGGAGTTGCTCTTCTCGAGGAGTATCTTTGTGGTGTTCTCTGTATTTCCTGAATCTGAACGTTGGCCTGCCTTGCTAGATTGGGGAAGTTCTCCTGGATAATATTCTGCAGAGTGTTTTCCAACTTGGTTTCATTCTCCCCATCACTTTCAGGTACACCAATCAGACGTAGATTTGGTCTTTTCACATAGTCCCATATTTCTTGGAGGCTTTGCTCATTTCTTTTTATTCTTTTTTCTCTAAACTTCCCTTCTCGCTTCATTTCATTCATTTCATCTTCCGTCGCTGATACCCTTTCTTCCAGTTGATCGCATCGGCTCCTGAGGCTTCTGCATTCTTCACGTAGTTCTCGAGCCTTGGTTTTCAGCTCCATCAGCTCCTTTAAGCACTTCTCTATATTGGTTATTCTAGTTATACATTCTTCTAAGTTTTTTTCAAAGTTTTCAACTTCTTTGCCTTTGGTTTGAATGTCCTCCCATAGCTCAGAGTAATTTGATTGTCTGAAGCCTTCTACTCTCAGCTCGTCAAAGTCATTCTCCATCCAGCTTTGTTCCGTTGCTGGTGCGGAACTGCGTTCCTTTGGAGGAGGAGAGGCCCTCTGCTTTTTAGAGTTTCCAGTTTTTCTGTTCTGTTTTTTCCCCATGTTTGTGGTTTTATCTACTTTTGGTCTTTGATGATGGTGATGTACAGATGGGTTTTTGGTGTGGATGTCCTTTCTGTTTGTTAGTTTTCCTTCGAACAGACAGGACCCTCAGCTGCAGGTCTGTTGGAATACCCTGCCATGTGAGGTGTCAGTGTGCCCCTGTTGGGGGATGCCTCCCAGTTAGGCTGCTCGGGGGTCAGGGTCAGGCACTCACTTGAGGAGGCAGTCTGCCCCTTCTCAGATCTCCAGCTGCGTACTGGGAGAACCACTGCTTTCTTCAAAGCTGTCAGACAGGGACATTTAAGTCTGCAGAGGTTACTGCTGTCTTTTTGTTTGTCTGTGCCCTGCCCTCAGAGGTGGAGCCTACAGAGGCAGGCAGGCCTCCTTGAGCTGTGGTGGGCTCCACCCAGTTCGAGCTTCCCAGCTGCTTTGTTTACCTAAGCAAGCCTGGGCAATGGCGGGCGCCCCTCCCCCAGCCTCGCTGCCGCCTTGCAGTTTGATCACAGACTACTGTGCTAGCAATCAGCGAGACTCCATGGGCGTAGGACCCTCCGAGCCAGGTGCGGGATATAATCTCGTGGTATGCCGGTTTTTAAGCCCGTCGGAAAAGCGCAGTATTCGGGTGGGAGTGACCCAATTTTCCAGGTGCCGTCCGTCACCCCTTTCTCTGACTAGGAAAGGGAACTCCCTGACCCCTTGCACTTCCTGAGTGAGGCAATGCCTCGCCCTGCTTCGGCTCGCACACGGTGTGCGCACCCACTGACCTGTGCCCACTGTCTGGCACTCCCTAGTGAGATGAACCCGGTACCTCAGATGGAAATGCAGAAATCACCCGTCTTCTGTGTCGCTCATGCTGGGAGCTGTAGACTGGAGCTGTTCCGAATCTTGGCTCACAGCCCTCAATAAGTTATTTAAAACTAATACCAACTTAACTTTGACTGCAAAAAAGAGACAGAAGAAACAAACACACAAACAAAGACATCTGTACACATTAATTCCCAACTTACCCCACATTTTGATTTTTAATGTCACAACTTGCATTTTATATTGCTTATCTCTTTAAAATTGTTGTAGTTAGTATTATCTTAAATATTTTGTCTTTTGTTCTTCTTAGTAGGGATATAAGTGATTCACACACCATGATTACCATATTAGTGTAACAATCACATTGATATAATTTTCTTTCCATTTGAAGAATTTCCTTTAGCATTTCTTATAGGACAGGTCTGGTAGTGATAAATCCCCTCAAGTTTTTTTTTGGTCTGGGAAAGTCCTTATTTCTCCTTTCTTTCTGAAGTTTAGCTTTTCTGAGTACAGTTTTCGTGCTTGGCAGATTTTTTTTTTTCTTCAGCACTTTGAATATATCTTTCTACTCCTCCTGGCCTGTGAGGTTTCTGTTGAGAAGTCTGCTTTCAGGCATATTGGATTTCCCTTACATATTATTTCCTTCTATTTTTTCCTCATTGCTTTTGCTCAAAAGTCCCTTTTCCTTTCTTTATCTTTGGCTTTTGAGTACCTGATTATAATGTTTTGGGGTATTCTTATTTGAGTTAAATCTGATTGATGACTTAATCTTTTTGTATCTAGATATTTATCTCCTTGTCCAGGTTTGTAAAGATTTCTGTTATTTATTAAAACAAACTTTATACAACTCTTTCTTTCTCAGTTCCCTTTTTAACTTCAAAAACCAAAATATTTGTTCTTTTGATGTTGTCACCTAGACCTTGTAAGATATCTTTATTCTTTTTTTAATTCTTTTTCTCCTCTGACTCTATTTTCAAATGGACTGTCTTCAACTTCACTGATTCCTTCTTCTATTTTATCAATTCTGCTGTTGATGGTATTTCATTAATTTTATTTTTCAGCTTTAGGACTTCTGTTTGATTTTTAAAAATTTTGATTTCTGTTAAATTTCATTGATAAATTTCTGAATTCATTCTGTGTTTTCTTGAAGTTCAGAGAGTTTCCTTATAATGTTTTTTTGAATTCTTTGAGAGATCACACATCTCCATCACTTTAGGGTTGGTTTCTGACATCTTATTTTGTGCATTTGGTGAGGTCATATTTCTCTAAATATTCTTGATGCTTGTGGACATGTACATTGAGGGATTAGGTATTTATTTTAGTCTCCACAGTTTGCCTTTGCCTGTCCCTGTCTGTCTTTGGAGAGCCTTCCATGGATTCTGGCAGACTGATTGTTTAGTTACCTGAATCTGTGATCACTGCAGCCCTCTCAGCACTAGAGGATGCTCTAAGCCCAGGCTTACCAAGATTCTCACAAGGATTTCAAGGTTGATTTGGTTTTAAGGCCCAGATGGACCTGGGGAAGACCCAGGGAGGGTTCTGGGGTTGTGTGGGACTGCTGGTCTGGAATCTGAGTTCAGAAGACTGTCCCAATGGCCCAGATGGATGTGACTCTCTGCCCATCTCTGCATGGATATGTTGGGTCCCTGATTGCAGTGAGAGGAGTTGAAGTTGAGGCTGGGCCCCCTTGTGATCTGCCAGAGAAAGGAGGTTGATAGGCCTGTATTGTTGGCTTAGATGGGCATGCATCACCCAGCAGGTGCCTGCACAAACAAGGCAGTTCCTTGACTGTAGCTGGAGGAGCCAGAGCTGAGACTGTCCCCTCAGGATCTGCTGTGGAACAGAGGCTGGAGAGGTCAGTCTTGCTTCAGAGTAGTGCACATTACCCAGCACAGATAGGATAGCTCCCTGATGTAGTAGGAGGGGACAAAGTTGAGACAGAGCCCTCTGGGGATCGGCTGTGAGATGGAGGCTGGCATGCCTGTCACATCAGTTCAGATAGGTATGTGTTTCCCAGTAGGTCTCTGAACAGATGGGATAGTTCCCTGACTGCAGCAAGAAGGGCTGGAGCTCAGATTGGGTTGATTTGGGATCTGCTGTGGGACACAGACTGGAGAGTCTTGTCTTATTGCTTCAGAGGGGCATGCCTTGCAGGTTTCAGCACAGATGGGATAGTTTACTGGTTGCAGTGGGAGGAGCCAGACCTGAGACTTGGTGCCATCAGGATCTGCTGTGAGTTGGAGTTCGGCAAGCCTGTCAGGGAGGCTCAGACTCCCAGGTTGTGTGATATGGGTGATTCTCTCTCTGGATCCTTGTGTGAGCAGCTCTGAGCTGTGACCTCAGCTGAGAGTGGTTGAAGCTAAACCACAAGGAAACTTTCAGGTTCATCACTGAGATAGATGTTAGCAGGCAGATGAGTTTCTCTGCCAAGGCACAAGTATGCATGATACATCTTGGATCCCTTGACAGATGGTTTTGGTTGCAGGCTCAAGACCAAATGAGGAAGGAGCCAAGCCCCTTGGAGGACAGGACAATTTCAAGACTTGAATGTGGAAGCAAGCTTGTAGTATCAACTACCTGGAGTCAATCTGCTTCTCAAAATGATGCTCCTAGGTTGTGAGCTACGTGAAGACTTTACAAACTCCTATCTAAATTTTGAGGCTCCTGCAGAGAGGCTTTGGGCCATGTATGGGTACAGAATTTCTTTTTCGTGGGATATATGAATGGATTACCTTCTATTCCATTATCTTGGTTATGCCACTCTGTATATGCTTAATCTTAAGGTCAATGGGGACCCATACAATGGCAGTATTTTGTGTCCACATTGATGCAAAATTATATGATTGTACGTAATAAAGATTAAACTCATTTACGTTAGTAATATAATGTTATATTCTTGGTATTTTTACTTGATGTATATCACTGGTTTTTCTTTAACTTTTAGTTTAGGTTTGGGGGTACATGTGAAGAGTTTATTACATATGTAAACACGTTGTCACAGAAGTTTGTTGTGTATATTATTTCATCACCCAGGCATTAAGCCTAGTACCCAATAGTTATCTTTTCTGCTCCTCTCCTTCCTCTCATCCTCCTCCTTCAAGTAGACCCCAGTGTCTGCTATTTCTTTCCTTGCATCACTGGTTTTTCAAAAGTTATAATATGGAAAATCAAGTTTTTAATGCTTACATAACATTCAATCACGTTGACTGATGTACTGATTTAGTTAACCATTCATTCATCATTATACATTTTTATTATTTCTTATGTTTCATTTTTAAAATATGCTCAATTATCATTTTCTTTTTTAGCTTTATATCTTTAGGATAAACATTTAGATATCATATTATTTAGTCAAAGGGTGTAAACACTTTTATGTCTTTTGGAATCTCCTGATAAATTTACTTTATTGTTTACATTGCTATTAGTAAAGTAAGAATATGTATCAAATTCACTACATTGCTTTTGGTTGAGAGGTATTATAATTCTTATAAAATTTCACAAATCAAATAGACCAAATACATAATTTGTTTCTGTAAACATTAACAACGTTGAACATTTTCCACATTGTGTTTTCTTTTTTTTAATTATTATACTTTAAGTTTTAGGGTACATGTGCACAACGTGCAGGTTAGTTACATATGTATGCATGTGCCATGTTGGTGTGCTGCACCCAGTAACTCGTCATTTAACATTAGGCATATCTCCAAATGCTATTCCCTCCCCCCACTCCCCACCCCACAACAGGCCCTGGTGTGTGATGTTCCCCTTTCTGTGTCCATGTGTTCTCACTGTTCAATTCCCACCTATGAGTGAGAACATGCAGTGTTTGGTTTTTTGTCCTTGCGATAGTTTGCTGAGAATGATGATTTCCAGCTTCATCCATGTCCCTACAAAGGACATGAACTCATCATTTTTATGGCTGCATAGTATTCCATGGTGTATATGTGCCACATTTCCTTAATCCAGTCTATCATTGTTGGACATTTGGGTTGGTTCCAAGTCTTTGCTATTGTGAATAGTGCCACAGTAAACATACGTGTGCATGTGTCTTTATAGAAGCATGATTTATAGTCCTTTGGGTATATACCCAGTAATGGGATGGCTGGGTCAAATGGTATTTCTAGTTCTAGATCCCTGAGGAATCGCCACACTGACTTCCACAATGGTTGAACTAGTTTACAGTCCCACCAACAGTGTAAAAGTGTTCCTATTTCTCCACATCCTCTCCAGCACCTGTTGTTTCCTGACTTTTTAATGATCGCCATTCTAACTGGCTTGAGATGGTATCTCATTGTGGTGTTGATTTTCATTTCTCTGATGACCAGTGATGATGAGCATTTTTTCATGTATCTGTTGGCTGCATAAATGTCTTCTTTTGAGAAGTATCTGTTCATATCCTTTGCCCACTTTTTGATGGGGTTGTTTGTTTTTTTCTTGTAAATTTGTTTGAATTCATTGTAGATTCTGGATATTAGCCCTTTGTCAGATGAGTAGATTGCAAAAATTTTCTCCCATTTTGTAGGTTGCCTGTTCACTCTGATGGTAGTTTCTTTTGCTGTGCAGAAGCTCTTTAGTTTAATTAGATCCCATTTGTCAATTTTGTCTTTTGTTGCCATTGCTTTTGGTGTTTTAGACATGAAGTCCTTGCCCATGCCTATGTCCTGAATGGTATTGCCTAGGTTTTCTTCTAGGGTTTGTATGGTTTTAGGCCTAACATTTAAGTCTTTAATCCATCTTGAATTAATTTTTGTATAAGATGTAAGGAAGGGATCCAGTTTCAGCTTTCTACATATGGCTAGCCAGTTTTCCCAGCACCATTTGTTAAATAGGGAATCCTTTCCCCACTTCTTGTTTTTGTCAGGTTTGTCAAAGATCAGATAGTTGTAGATACGTGGCATTATTTCTGAGGGCTCTGTTCTGTTCCATTGGTCTATATCTCTGTTTTGGTACGAGTACCATGCTGTGTTGGTTACTGTAGCCATGTAGTATAGTTTGAAGTCAGGTAGCATGATGCCTCCAGCTTTGTTCTTTTGGCTTAGGATTGACTTGGCAATGTGGTACCTTTTATGGTTCCATATGAACTTTAAAGTAGTTTTTTCCAATTCTGTGAAGAAAGGCATTGGTAGCTTGGTGGGGATGACATTGAATCTATAAATTACCTTGGGCGGTATGGCCATTTTCATGATATTGATTCTTCCTACCCATGAGCATGGAATGTCCTTCCATTTGTTTGTATCCTCTTTCATTTCATTGAGCAGTGGTTTGTAGTTCTCCTTGAAGAGGTCCTTCACGTCCCTTGTAAGTTGGATTCCTAGGTACTTTATTCTCTTTGAAGCAATTGTGAATGGGAGTTCACTCATGATTTGGCTCTCTGTTTGTCTGTTGTTGGTGTATAAGAATGCTTGTGATTTTTGCACATTGATTTTGTATCCTGAGACTTTGCTGAAGTTGCCTATCAGCTTAAGGAGATTTTGGGCTGAGATGACGGGGTTTTCTAGATATACAGTCATGTCATCTGCAAACAGGGACAATTTGACTTCCTCTTTTCCTAATTGACTACCCTTTATTTCCTTCTCCTGCCTGATTGCCCTGGCCAGAACTTCCAACACTATGTTGAATAGGAATGGTGAGAGAGGGCATCCCTGTCTTGTGCCAGTTTTCAAAGGGAATGCTTCCAGTTTTTGCCCATTCAGTATGATATTGGCTGTGGGTTTGTCGTAGATAGCTCTTATTATTTTGAAATACATCCCATCAATACCTAATTTTTTGAGAGTTTTTAGCATGAAGGGCTGTTTAATTTTGTTGAAGGCCTTTTCTGCATCTATTGGGATAATCATATGGTTTTTGTCATTGTCTCTGTTTATATGCTGGATTATGTTTATTGATTTGCATATGTTGAACCAGCCTTGCATCCCAGGGATGAAGCCCACTTGATCATGGTGGATAAGCTTTTTATTGTGCTGCTGGATTTGGTTTGCCAGTATTTTATTGAGGATTTTTGCATCTATGTTCATCAGGGATATTGGTCTAAAATTCTCTTTTTTGTTGTGTCTCTGCCATGCTTTGGTATTAGGATGATGCTGGCCTCATAAAATGAGTTAGGGGGGATTCCCTCTTTTTCTATTGATTGGAATAGTTTCAGAAGGAATGGTACCAGCTCCTCCTTGTACCTCTGGTAGAATTCGGCTGTGAATCCTTCTGGTCCTGGACTTTTTTTGGTTGGTAAGCTATTGATTATTGCCTCAATTTCAGAGCCTGTTATTGGTCTATTCAGAGATTCAACTTCTTGCTGGTTTAGTCTTGGGAGGGTGTATGTGTCGAGGAATTTATCCATTTCTTGTAGATTTTCTAGTTTATTTGCATAGAGTTGTTTACAGTATTCTCTGATGGTAGTTTGTATTTCTGTGGGATCTGTAGTGATATCCCCTTTATCATTTTTTATTGCATCTATTTGATTCTTCTGTCTTTTCTTCTTTATTTGTCTTGCTAGCAGTCTATCAATTTTGTTGATATTTTCAAAAAGCAGTGCCTGGATTCATTGAGTTTTTGGAGGATTTTTTGTGTCTCTATTTCCTTCAGTTCTGCTCTGATCTTAGTTATTTCTTGCCTTCTGCTAGCTTTTGAATGTGTTTGCTCTTGCTTCTGTATTTCTTTTAATTGTGATGTTAGGGTGTCAATTTTAGATCTTTCCTGCTTTCTCTTGTGGTCATTTAGTGCTATAAATTTCCCTCTACACACTGCTTTGAATGTGTCCCAGAGATTCTGGTATGTTGTGTCTTTGTTCTCATTGGTTTCAAAGAACATCTTTATTTCTGCCTTCATTTCGTTATGTACCCAGTAGTCATTCAGGAGCAGGTTGTTCAGTTTCCATGTAGTTGAGCGGTTCTGAGTGAGTTCCTTAATCCTGAGTTCTAGTTTGATTGCCCTGTGGTCCGAGAGATAGTTTGTTATAATTTCTGTTCTTTTACATTTGCTGAGGAGAGCTTTACTTCCAACTATGTGGTCAATTTTGGAATAAGTGTGGTGTGGTGCTGAGAAGAATGTATATTCTGTTGATTTGGGGTGCAGAGTTCTGTAGATGTGTATTAGGTCCACTTGGTGCACAGCTGAGTTCAATTCCTGGATATCCTTGTTAACTTTTTGTCTCATTGATCTGTCTAATGTTGGCAGTGGGGTGTTAAAGTCTCCCTTTATTATTGTGTGGGAGTCTAAGTCTCTTTGTAGGTCTCTAAGGACTTGCTTTATGAATCTGGGTGCTCCTGTATTGGGTGCATATATATTTAGGATAGTTAGCTCTTCTTGTTGAATTGATCCCTTTACCATTATGTAATGGCCGTCTTTGTCTCTTTTGATCTTTGTTGGTTTAAAGTCTGTTTTATCAGAGACTAGGATTGCAACCCTGCCTTTCTTGTTTTCCATTTGCTTGGTAGATCTTCCTGCATCCCTTTATTTTGAGCCTATATATGTCTCTGCATGTGAGGTGGGTTTCCTGAATACAGCACACTGATGGGTCTTGACTCTTTATCCAATTTGCCAGTCTGTGTCTTTTAATTGGAGCATTTAGCCCATTTACATTTATAGTTAATATTGTTATGTGTGAATTTGATCCTGTCATTATGATGTTAGCTGTTCATTTTGCTCATTAGTTGATGCAGTTTCTTCCTAGCTTCAATGATCTGTAGAATTTGGCATGTTTTTGCAGTGGCTGGTACTGATTGTTCCTTTCCATGTTTAGTGCTTCCTTCAGGAGCTCTTTTAGGGCAGGCCTGGTGGTGACAAAATCTCTCAGCATTTGCTTGTCTATAAAGGATTTTATTTCTCCTTCACTTATGAAGCTTAGTTTGGCTGGATATGAAATTCTGGGTTGAAAATTCTTTTCTTTAAGAATGTTGAATATTGGCCCCCACTCTCTTCTTGCTTGTAGAGTTTCTCCTGAGAGGTCCGCTATTAGTCTGATGGGCTTCCCTTTGTGGGTAACCTGACCTTTCTCTCTGACTGTCGTTAACTTTTTTTCCTTCATTTCAACTTTGGTGAATCTGACAATTATGTGTCTTGGAGTTGCTCTTCTTGAGGAGTATCTTTGTGGCATTCTCTGTATTTCGTGAATTTGAATGTTGGCTGCCCTGCTAGATTGGGGAAGTTCTCCTGGATAATATCCTGCAGAGTGTTTTCCAGCTTGGTTCCATTCTCCCCATCACTTTCAGGTACACCAATCAGACGTAGATTTGGTCTTTTCACATAGTCCCATATTTCTTGGAGGCTTTATTCATTTCTTTTTATTCTTTTTTCTCTAAACTTCTCTTCTCACTTCATTTCATTCATTTGATCTTCCATCACTGATATCCTTTCTTCCAGTTGATCAAATCGGCTACTGAGGCTTGTGCGTTCATCACGTAGTTCTTGTGCCATGGTTTTCAGCTCCCTCAGGTCCTTTAAGGACTTCTCTGCATTGGTTATTCTAGTTAGCCATTCGTCTAAGTTTTTTCAAGGTTTTTAACTTCTTTGCCATGGGTTCGAACTTCCTCCTTTAGCTCAGAGATGTTTGATCATCTGAAGCCGTCTTCTCTCAACTCGTCAAAGTCATTCTCCATCCAGCTTTGTTCCATTGCTGGTGAGGAGCTGCATTGCTTTAGAGAAGGAGAGGCACTCTGATTTAGAGTTTCCAGTTTTTCTGCTCTGTTTTTTCCCCATCTTTGTGGTTTTATCTACCTTTGGTCTTTAATGATGGTGACGTACAGATGGGGTTTTGGTGTGGATGTCCTTTGTGTTTGTTACTTTTCCTTCTAACAGTCAGGACCCTCAGCTGCAGGTCTGTTGGAGTTTGCTGGAGGTCCACTCCAGACCCTGTTTGCCTGGGTATCAGCAGTGGAGGCTGCACAACAGCGGATATTGGTGAACAGCAAATGTTGCTACCTGATCGTTCCTCTGGAAGTTTTGTCTCAGAGGAGTACCTAGCCATTTGAGGTGTCAGTCTGTCCCTACTGGGGGGTGCCTCCCAGTTAGGCTACTCGGGGGTCAGGGACCCACTTGAGGAGGCAGTTTGTCCATTCTCAGATGTCCAGCTGTGTGCTAGGAGAACCACTACTCTCTTCAAAGCTATCAGAGAGGGACATTTAAGTCTGCAGAGGATTCTGCTGCCTTTTGTTTGGCAATGTCCTGCCCCCAGAGGTGGCATCTGCAGAAGCAGGCAGGCCTCCTTGAGCTGCAGTGGGCTCCACCCAGTTCGATCTTCCTGGCCGCTTTGTTTACCTACTCAAGCCTAAGCAATGGCGGGTCCCCCTCCCCCAGCCTTGTTGCTGCCTTGCAGTTTGATCTCAGACTGCTGTGCTAGCAGTGAGTGAGGCTCCGTGGTGTAGGACCCTCCAAGCCAGGCGCTGGATATAATCTCCTGGTGTGCCGTTTGCTAAGATCGTTGGAAAAGCACAGTATTAGGGTGGGAGTGACCCGATTTTCCAGGCGCCGTCTGTCACCCCTTTCTTTGACTAGGATAGGGAATTCCCTAACCCCTTGTGCTTCCCAGGTGAGGCAATGCCTTGCCCTGCTTCAGCTCACACTTGGTGCGCTGCACCCACTGTCCTGCACCCACTTTCTGACACTCCCCAGTGAGATGAACCCGGTACCTCAGTTGGAAATGCAGAAATCACCCGTCTTCTGCGTCACTCATGCTGGGAGCTGTAGATTGGAGTCTAGCATTTCTTTAAATGTTAAATGTGCATCCTTCGAGCTGGAGAGCTCCACATGGCTGGGGAGGCCTCAAGAAACTTACAGTCATGGTGGACAGCACCTCTTCACAGGGCAGCAGGAGAGAGAATCCCACATTGTGTTTTCAGTGCAAGTTTTCACCTGTGAATTGTCTTTGGTTGATCTCTTGATTGGTAATATTTTTTATAGACACAGGATTTTAAAATTGATTTCTATATTTCTATATTTTGAACATTATTTCTCCTTTAATGAATTGATCAATTAAATTCTATTATTATTACTTATTCAATAATTTTTAAATTTTTAATATTTATCTCAAAATTCAATTTTTAAATTTATCTCAAAAGTATTTTTCAAATTTTAACCATGGTCTTAATAGTAGTGATTAAATAATCATATATGTTATGATTAAAGTTTTATCTATTAAAATCTGTAAGAAGAATAGGCTTTATATCAAAATTATTCATCTAGTTCCAGTGATTTATGTTTGTTGTTCAGACAGTACAATGCTCTTTTTATTGTTATTGCTATGTAACATATCTTAATTTTGGGGAAGAGCTAGTAATTCCCTCATTAACCTTTTTTCATATCATTTTGATAATTATGCACTTTTGTTCTTATGGATGAAATATATAATAATTTAAAAGTGTAACTTCAATATTGTCTGTCTGAACTCATACATTGAATAGCAAATATGGCAGTTAAAAGGATTCCTCAATATATTAGGCAGAATGCAAACAACAGTTTCCAAATACACATATGGCTATTTTATAAAGGGAAAGTAAGTTTTCACAATTGCTGAAAGAAGTCTAACTCACCTATTAATCCTGGTGTAAGATAACTTTTATGTTTAGGAACAAACTTTCTAATATTCCTTCTGAATGTTTTCATGTTGATCGGAGTTTGAATAATCACTACTTTTGTGAAATCTTCAATACTTTGTATCTGAAAGTTGACAGAATGCAAGTTAATTTCTGAGCAAATATCCTACAATTAAAAATTTACCTAGTAAGCTGCTATTTCTGGCTTTCTCTAGGTATCTGGGAAAAATGGAAAATATTAACAAATCAACACAAATAAGATTAATATCTTAAAATACTTGGATATGTTGGTTTTGTAAAAGTCACTATTCCATATACATTCATTGATTTTTAAATATTTCTATTCCATATGAAAAAAATAATTAAGAATGAATTACCAATGGCCCTTTAAAAATCATCCAGAGACTTTTTCCACATGGCAGAAAGAAAGTTTAATGAAAAGAGTATTTCAAAATATTCTTTTCATTAAACTTTCTTTCTGCCATATAGAAATATTTCAAAATATTCTTCCACCTTGTGGTTGTTTTCAATATAGTTTGAATCACACTGGTACCCAAATCCACAATGAGTAGGGCTCTGTTTCTAGGAAAGTAGATAGAGTTTATCAGGCTTCAGGCTCCTGCTTGGCTGTCTAAATTCTCAACAAGCACCCACACCAAATCTCTGTTACATGTTCAAGGATAGAGGTAGAGAGCAGCGTAGCGGAGAATGTTTCACTTCCTCTCATTAAGCATTATGTCAGTGCTGGTGATGTCCACTTAGAAAATTTTCTTGTGATCCTTTCTCACCTTGGGATCCCTCCCATTCCCATTACACTTTTTTCTTATGTCCAAAATCTACCCTGTAAGTGCTTTTATCCTAGCTGTAAAACATCTTATTAATATCTTTACTTATTTGTTTCTTTTCACTTGGTTGAGAGATCTCTTGAGGATAAGTTGTAAGTATCATTTTTTTATCATTTCAATATATAGCACTGTATTCCAGCATATTTTAAATAACTCTGAGTCCTCTTTGAATTACTTTTTGTAGCTGTGTCTTTTATGTGCCCTGATTCCTATTGACATGTGCCTCTCTGATTCTCCCCCAACACAAAACAATACACACACACACACACACACACACACACACACACACACACACACACACTTCTTTCCTTCTTTACATGGCTCAGGTTCTCATTTTGATTGGCAGGGGAACTCAATTAGCAATTTAAATATGAGAAGACATTCACTTTCAAAGCAGCTGTGGGAATACTACTAATACTCAATTCAGCATCAGTCTGGCAGAACCTTTCTAGAGCATTGTTGATACAGTTTTTCTGCAACATGTGAGTAAAATAAATGCACCCTCTTTTGCAATGAATAACTGTACCAAAATCTAACTGTAACCAAAATGTCCAGCTTGGCCTTCATAGGCATTGGATGGGAATAGCTTGTGCTTGGGCTAGCAAGTGCCAAAGCAGTCAATGAACTTGGTGTGTGTGGGCCTATGTGGGTGTGGTTGTGGGTATGAGTGAGTGTTTATGGAGTGGTGGGAAAAGGGAGAAGATTGGAAGATGAAAAGCTTAAGATTATAGTGACAGTTTTTCTGACGTTAATACATTGTTGGACATATGGCATATTGATCTGAAGACAGGAATCAATATTTCTTTACCTGATGGCATGTTATAGGAATTAAGAAAGGTGCTCTATAAGTTTTTCGTAACAGACAATCTTCTACAGCTCCATGTATGAGGATAACATAGATTAGATTTTCATCATAAATATCAGTTTTGGTACTCATTGGTATATCTACTACATAAATATTAGAGAGCTTTAGTTGCATATTGTAGTTCCAATCCTGTTTTAGAAAACACAATTTCAGTCTATTATTAGTCTATGAAGTTCAGTATATATTCATAAATAGTCAATTATAATGTTTTAATGCCATTCCATTCAAAGAAAGAAAGACAAGTTTATACAAGCACTTCCTACCTCATAAGATAAGTGTTCTCTGATTTTTCTGGCTGTAATAGCGAGTCCAAGTTTTAGCCACATTTTTTGTTTAATGAGAGGAGAGCATTGCTCAAAAGCATCATACAAGTGAGTTTTGGGAATAAAACATGTCTGGAAAAGAAGGATGTAAATTTGATATTTTATTTTGTGCACTATGGTTTAAGGAATAAAGTTTTTTTGTTTATGTACACTATTAAAGCTAATAATTTAATTAGGTAAGATTCACATAATAGCATGGAAACTTAGTAAAATGTGTCTATCAATGAAAATTGGTGTGTCCTTTCCCTATGTTGTTGTTGACTTTGTCAAAATCAGTTGGCTGTAAAATGTGGCTTTATTTCTGGGTTTTTAAATTCTGTTCCATTGATGTATGTGTATATTTGTAAACCAGTTTCATGCTGTTTTGATTACTATATCTTTATAGTATAATTTGAAGTTAGGTGATGTGATTCCCCCAGCTTTGTTCTTTTTGCTTAGGATTGCTTTGGATATTTGAGCTCTTTTTTGGTTCCATATGAATTTTAGGATAGTTTTTTCCAATTCTGTGAAAATCAGGGCATTTTGATAGATATTGCATTCAATCTATAGGTTGCTTTGGGCAGTGTGGTCACTTCAACAGTACTAATTCTTCTGATCCATGAGCATAGGATGTTTTTCATTTGTTTGTGTCATCTAAAATTTCTTTCCATAAATGGTATTGGGAAAATTTGATTGCTTTATGCAAAACAATAATACTGGACCCTTTATCTCTCACCACATTAAAAAAATCAACTCAACATGGATTAAAGAGTTAAACGTTAGATCCTAAACTATAAACATGCTGGAAGGAAACCTAGAGAAAAGTCTTCTAGACATTGGTGTAGGCAAAGAATTCATGACTAAAACCTCAAAAGCACAGGCAACAAGAACAAAAATAGACAAATGGAACATAATTGAACTAAATAGCTTCTGTACCACAAAAATAAATAAATAATCAAGTGAACAGGCAACCTATTCACTGGGAGAAACAAAAACCCTGCAGAATGGGAGAATATATTTGCAAACTATGCGTCTGACAATGGACCAATGTCCAGAATTTACAAGGAACTCGAATAGCCTTTCTGACTAGTGTAAGGTGGTATCTCATTGTAGTTTTCATGTGCATTTTTCTGATGATTAATGATTTTGAACATTGTTTATATACCTGTTGGCCATTTGTATGTCTTCTTTTGAGAAATGTTTATTCAGGTCCTTTGCTTATTTTTAATTGTATTATTTATTTTCTTGCTGTTGAGCTTTTGAGTTCCTTATATATTTTAGATACAAACCCATTATCAGATGTATGATTTACACATATTTTTTATAAGATAAAATATAGAAAACAAATTACTAACAATTATTTGACCTTTTTAGATAAATATATGCATCTATAAATATGTTATTTGAGGGGAGCAAACTTTTTAGGCAAAAATAAAATGCTTATGCTAAAAGTGAACAGATCATTGGTTACTAAGAATAAAACTTCTATGAATAGTCAAAAACAAGTTTTGTGTACATTGGATTTTATTTCTCTTGGGTCAGTATCTTTTTTTGTGTGTAGTATAGGACATGTATATTTAACTTTTGTAAGCAACTGACAAACTGTTTCAGACCAAAACCACTGTTCAAATTAAAACTCTGTTTCAGAAGTTGTTGCAACATTTTACACTCTCATCAGCCATGTATGAAAATTTCAGCTGGGCGTGGTGGCTCATGCCTGTAATCTTAGCACTTTGGGAGGCTGAGGCGGGCTGAGCCCCTGAGGTCAGGAGTTGGAGACCAGCCTAGCCAACATGGCGAAATGCCGTCTCTACTAAAAATACAAAAATTATCTGGGCATGGTGGCACGTGACTGTAATCCTAGCTACTCGGGAGGCTGAGGCAGGAGAATCACTTGAATCCGGGAGGCGGAGGTTGCAGTGAGCTGAGATTGGGAGCCATTGCACTCCAGCCTGGGCAACAGAGTGAGACTCTGTCAGAAAAAAAAAAGAAAAGAAAAGAAAAGAAAATTTTAGTTGCTCCACGTCCTTGCCAATACCTGTTATTCAGTGTTTTTATTTTTAGGCAATGTAGTAGGTGTGTATTGACGTACCACTGTGGGTTTAATTTGCATGTTTCTGGCAGCTAATGATGGTGAACATCTTCATGTGTTTATTGGCCATTTGTATATTCTTTGTAAAGTGTCTGTTCACATTCTTTGCCCAGTTTTTAATTCAGTAGTTTGTCTTCTTATTTTTGAATTGTTAAGAGTTATTTATAGATTCTATTATCAAATCCTTTTCTTGGGGAACTTTTGAAAAATCCCTAAGCCCATGACTCATATTTTTCCCTGAGCCTGCTGCTCATATTTTTTGTGATGTCTTTTGAAGAGCAGAAGATTTTTAATTTTGGTGACATCCAATTTATCAATATTTCGTTTTATGGTTAGTACTTAAAAAAATCCTGGCTAAGAAATCTTTGCCTACCTTAAGTTCTCCTATGTTTTCTTCTATAATTTATATAGTTCTATCTTTCATGTTAAAGTATATGATCATGCCACATTACATTTTGGGCCTAGTACATGGGGATCAAGGTTCATTGCTTCTGCATGGATATTCAGTGTTTTCAGGATTATTTGTTGAAAATATTGTAATTTTTCCATTGAGATAATTTGATCCTTTGTCAAAAATCTATTGACTATGTATGTGTGGATTTATTTATGGATTCTCTTTTCTGTTGTATTGATCTCTACATCTTAACCTAAAGCCAACATCATGTGGCCTTAATTACACAGGATGTATGCCTTTAAATCAGGTAGTGTAAATCATCTAACTTTTTTATATTTGTTTTGCCTATTATAGGTCCTCTGCATTTTCATATATATTCTACAAAAAGAGTCTGTGGAGAGTTGGATTGAGGTTGTATTAAATCTATAGATCAATTTTTGAAGAATGGATATCTTAATAATATTATGGGCTCTAATCCACAAATACGGTGTACTTCTCCATTTATTTAATCTTTTTTCAGTTATCTAGGAAATATTCTATGGTTTTCATTGTAGAGTTATTCCACGTATTTCATTAACTTTATCTCTTTTATATTTTGATTATTTTTGTAAAAAGAATTAAAAATTTTATTTCCAGTTGTTTGTTACTAGTATATGAAAACACAATTAATTTTTGGAATTTGGACTTGTATTTTACCATCTTACTAAATTCATTATAAATTCTAGTTATTTTTGGTAGAATCTTAAAAATGTAGATATCATGCCATCTTGCAGAGACAATTTTAGTGCTTTCTTTGTAATTTTTATGTCAGTTTACTTCTTTTTCTAGCCCTATTGTACTAGTTAACAACTCCAATATAATACTGAATGGAAGTGGTGAGAGTGGACATTCTTGTCTTGCTCTCAGTCTTACCGTCTTAGTTTTTCATCACTAGATGTGATGTTAGCTGTAAATTTATAATAAATGCCCCTTATTGAGTTCAGGAAGTTGCATTCTATTCTGAGTTTTTGGAGATTTTTTAAAAGAATGTTACATTTTGTAAAATTCTCTTTGTTCTATATCTACTTGAATATCTTATATAAATTTTCTGTTTTTTCTTATAATGTGTTGAATCACAATGGTTGATTTTCAAATGTCGAATCAATCTTATATTCCTAAAATAAAGCTCATTTATTTAGTTTTGATGTCTAATCCTTTTAATATATTCTTAGATTCAACTTGCTAGTATCTTATTAATGATTTTTTTGTGTCCACATTAATGTGGGATTATTGGTCTGTAATTTTCTTTTGCTGAAATGTTTTTTCAAGGTTTAGTATTTGTTTGCACTGGCCCCATAAAATGCACTGGAAAGCTTTTTTTCCTCCTTTGTTTCCTGACAAAGTCTGTGTAAGATTCATATTATTTCTTCCTGAAATATTTGATAAAACTCATCAGTAAAACCATCTGGCATGGAGTTGTTTTTGTGGGAAGGACACAAATTCCAAAAATCTCAGTATGTATAGTACTATTAAAAAGTTCTAGTCCTTAAGTAAATTTTGACGTGTGTGCTTTTTAAAATTTTTTCATTTAGGTTTAGGGATAGAAGTGCAGGTTTGTTATATAGGTAAATTACATTTCGCAGGGATCTGGTGTACAGATCATTTTATCACCCAGGTAATAAGCATAATGGTACATGATAAGTAGTTTTTTGATCCTTACCTTCCTCCCTACACTCCACTCTCAAGTAGGCTCTGGTGTATCTTGCTCCCTTTTTTGTGTCCATATGTACTTGATGTTTAGCTCCCATTTATAAATGAGAACATGCAGTATTTGCTTTTCTGTTCCTGTGTTAGTTTGCTAAGGATAATAGTGTCCACCTCCATCTATGTTGCTGCAAAGGACATGATCTCATTCTTTTCTATGGCTGCATAGTATTCCATGGTGTGTATGTACCACATTTTCTTTATCCAGTCTACTGTTGATGGGCATTTAGGTTGATTCCATGTCTTTGCTGTTGTGAATAGTGCTGCAAAGAACATACACATACATGTGTCTTTATAGTAGAATGATTTATGTTCCTTTCTGTATATACCCAATAACAAAATTGTTGGGTTGAATGGTAATTCTGTTTTAAGTTCTCTTAGAAATTGCCAACGTTCTTTCCACAATGGCTGAACTAATTTACATTCCCATCAGTAGGATATAAGCATTCCCTTTTCTCCACAGCCTTGCCAGCATCTGTTATTTTTTGACTTTTTAATGATAGTCATTCTGACTGGTGTGAGATGGTATCTCATTGTGTTTTGATTTGTATTTCAAATGTAAATGGTTAGTGATCGTCAGAATTTTTTCATATGCTTGATGGCCATGTTTACATCTTCTTTAGAAAATTGTCGGTTCATATGGTTTGCCCACTTTTTAATGGGGTTGTTTGTGTTTTGCTTGTTAATTTGTTTAAGTTTCTTAGAGATTCTGGCTTATAAACCTTTGTCAGATGCATAGTTTGCAAGCATTGTCTTCCATTCTGTAAGTTGTTGCCCCTGGGGGCTCCACCTCCATGAAATGTGGAGCTGCTGTTACTGGTCAGCTGGAGGGGTGGGTTGTGTGTACTGTTGTCATGACCTTAGGATTTTTCATGCTGGGGATCAGGGGGCCAAAAGCTCACAGGGAGGAAAGATTGGTCTTTCCTCTGGTAGCAGTGGCATGTGGTAAGCTTGGGTGTAGCCCTCAGGCTCTTTGTTTCTTCCCCAGACTAAGGGCAGCAGGGATACAACTGTTACTGTGGCAGTGGAGGGAGCGGGGGTGCAGTTGTATGTCTCTAGGAGCCTCTCCCTGGGCAACCTCTGTGCCACTACCAGTGAGTATGCGCAGTTGTGGATGGAGCAACTGTTCTACTTTCATGAGCTGGGGGCCCTGCCTGGTGAAGAGTTGGGGTGGTGGTTCACCTCCATATGGTGGCTGCCATGTGCTGGAGGTGCCAGCATAATGACTAGGCCCTTTGTTCCTTTCCAGTGTCAGGGCTGTAAGGGCTGAGCCACTGCAACTGTAGTAGCAGAGGGGTTGTGAGTTGACTCTATGATTTCCTCCTTGAAGAAATGCTGGGCTGTCTTTGATTGTGGTGATCAGGCAAGGGTTGGGTCATTGTGCTGGAGTCCCAGGCCAGGCAGCCCTGCCCAGTGAGGATCTGGATCTGCGTGGAGAACAGTCTGGCCACTTTTCTGTGAGCTGGTTGCTCTTTGCTGGGGGTCTGGACCAGCCTCTGGTCCCTACAGACTCTCTGGATCCTGGAGACAGCAAGGGCAAGGGCTGCAAGACAGCAAGGATAGCAACTCCCCTTCCCAAGGGAGTCCTGTCCAGGGAGTTGCAGAACTGCTACTGGCTCAATAGCCCTGACAAAGGGTGGCTGGAGGCCCAGGCCTGGAGGACTTGCCCAGTGAGGAGATGTGGGAACTAGCTCCATGTAATAGTCTGGCCACTTTTCCATAGGGCTGCTGCAGTATGCTGGGTGTCCGCTCCAGTCCCTAGTCACCTCGGACTTTCTAGTGCCTGAAGGTAACAATGAGTGGAGGGTGCGAAACAGCAGAGATGGTGGCCTGCCTCTCCCTCTGAGAGCTCTGCCCCAGGGAGGTATGAACCTATTGCCAGCCCGAACACACCTGTAGGAGGTAGCTGGAGAACCCGGTCAGGAGGTCCCACCCAGTGAAAAGGAATGGGATCAGAGACCTACTTAAAAATAACAGTCTGGCCATGTTTTCATAGAGCAGCTGTGCTAGCTGGAGGTCCACTCCAGCCTTCAGTTGCCTTGGACTCTTCAAAGCCCGAAGGCAAGAATAGCTAAGTTGACCAAACAGCAAAGATGGTGGTCCACCCTCCCTCTGGGCGCTCTGTAACAAGGAGGTTTGAAACTCAGTTGGCCAACACCAGCAGGGGTGATTGGAGGACCCCAGTTGGGAGATTCTGCCTAGTGAGGAGAAATGGGATTCGGGATGTGCATGAATAAGAAGTCTGACTGCTTCTCCATAGTACTGCTGAGCAGTGCTGAGGGACTGCTCTAGTCCCTCATTGCCACCGATTTGCTGGAGCCCTAAGGCAACAGTGGCTGAGGCTGTGAAACAGCAAAGGTGGTGGCCCACCCGACCTGCTGGGAGCTCTTTCTCAGAGAGATGCAATGCTGCTACCCGTGGCTGGCTGGATTTCCAAGCCAGTGGGTCTTATCATGTGATGTACCACGGTCCTGCAGACCATCATTGGTCAGTCCCCTGGATTCAGTCCCTTTCTTAGGAGTAGGTATAGGGATCTAACCTCCTGCTGAGGGTTGCAGCTGCTTTTGCTGGGAGGCCTGGGTATCTAAGGCTCCTAGGGCTCCACATGTGCCTGAGTGGCTGCTCTGCCAAGACTCCACATAGCTCTGCATGTCAGACTGCAAACCCTAGTGGAGTGGGTCCTCCTGACTGGAGGGTTGCAAAGATCCATGGGAGAAGCATGGGTTCCTGGGACTCCTCATTCACTCACTGCTTCCCTGGGCAGGGGAGGTTCCCCTGACTCTGTGTCACTCCCAGGTGGGTGGTCATCCTGCCTTACTTTTCTCCGTTCTCCGTGAATTGAGTTGTTTCCTTGATTAGTCCCAATGTGTGTACCTGGATGTTTCAGTTGAAAGTGCTATGTTTACTTGCCCCTTCCATCCCTCTCTGTGAGAGCGGCACACACCAGCTGCTTCTAGTCAGCCATGTTGGCCACCTCTCTCCAGAATCGATTTTTAACAACTGGTTTAAAGTCTTTGACCAATCTATAGTCTGGACAATCTCCATGATGGTTTTTACCGAATGCTTTACTCCTCACCTTTTATACTATAGATCACAATTTCATGCTTCTTTGCTTGTTTTGTAATTCATGGTTGCTCATGATAACACTACAGAGATTCTAGATTATTTTATCTTCTTCTGAAAATTGTTGATTTTTGTTATAGTAAGCAGTTCATTTACTATCTGATCACACTGAGCTTGTATAGGCTGGGTTTTACAATTTGCTTGAGTGAATCAGTAGAAAACCTCAGGTATCTAAGACAGTGTAACTTGTCTCCAAACTCTGTCTCCACCATGGGTGCTGTCAGGGCTTGCTCCAAGGCTTTGTTAGGTCTTAGAATAAGAGCAAGCCTTCTTCTAGGTCATGATTCTTACTCCTAAGGCCTATTCTTTCTGGTCTCTCAGCTGTGGGCCTGAGATTTTAACAGATCTTTCCTTTCTGTTAGATATCTTGACTTCTTGACTCCTGGTGTCTCTCTCTCTCTCTCTTTCTTTTTTTTTTTTGGTTGATAGAGTCTTTCTCTGTCACCCAGGCTGGAGTGCAGTGGTGCGATCTCAGCTTACTGCAACCTCTGCCTCCTGGGTTCAAGTGATTCTCCTGCCTCAGCCTTCTAAGTAGTTGGGATTACAGGTGTGCACCACTGTGCCCAGCTAATTTTTGTATTTTTATTGGAGCCAGGGTTTCACCATGTTGGCCAGGCTGGTCTCAAACTCCTGACCTCAGGTGATCCACCAGCCTCAACCTACCAAAGTGCTGAGATTACAGGCGTGACCCGCCACACCTTGCCTGACTCCTGGTATCTCTCTTCCTTTCTTAACAATCTGGTAAATCTAGTTGTGTCTCATCCTGGGCATTTGCAGCCTGTCTCTCAACCAAGGACTTGTAGAGAACCACCACACAGGCTACTTGGGTCTTTCTCCGTGTAAGACTTTGTCTTACTTCCTGCTCTGCAGTTTCTAGCCAAGTTAGCTTCCACAACTTCTGATGTCTCATTTCTCAGCTTAGCAGGATCGCCATCTTCTGCTTGGATTCTTATTGCATCATGGTCAGGAAATGGTCCTAAGCAGAGGATCGGGGTGAATGTAGGGCTTACCTTGTGAGTTTCTCATCTCTTAGTTTTGGGTAACATAAGTTTACCTATATAACAAACCTGCACATGTACCCCTGTACCTAAAATAAAAGGATGAAAAAAATTTTTTTCAAAAAAAAAAAAATTAAATAGAAAAAAAATCACATTTGCCTCATATATTTTATTAAGTTTTAGGGTTTTTTTTTATAGCAGATGTGCTGCTCTGTTACTAGTAACTTCATTATAGCCCAAAGCAGAAGGCTAGAGTGTTTTATGCAAATTCCAGGTATCATAAATATATAATTTTATTTTTAAATATTTTAATGATAGAGATATTTTAAATATATAACATATGTGATTATATGCCAAAAATAAAAATATCATTTAGTATTCTGTTCACATTAAAATGTCCTAAATTATCTCAAATAGGTCTCTTTATAATTGGTTTGTTCAAATTACAGCAATTGTATTTATTTGGTTATTATATCTCTTAAGTCCATTTTTAATAATTTTTCTTTGCCTTCTTCCCCTCTACCACTACATATTTTTTTTTTTGTAAACAGAGACAGAGTCTGGCTCTGTTACCAGTCTGGAGTGCAGTGGTGCAATCATGACTGACTGTAACTTTGGGTTCCTGAGCTCAAGCAATCCTCCCTTCTCAGCCTCCCAAGTAGCTGGATCTACAGGCATGTGTCACCATGCCTGGCTAATTTTTTTTTATTTTTTGCAGATATGTTGCAGGCCAGTCTCAAACTCCTGGCCTCAAGCAATCCTCCTGCCCCAGCCTCCCAAAGTTTTGGGATTACAGGTATAAGCCACCATGTCTGCTACTCCATTCACATTTTATGCCATTGATTTGTTAAAGAAATCAGGTTATTTGTCTACAGACTCTTCCACATTCTAAATTTAGCTGATTATTCCCTCTTGCTGTCAATTAACCTGTTTCTCTCCTTCCTGTATTTTCTGTAAACTGATTCAATCTATAGACTTGAAGAACTTCAGATTTTTTCTTGTGTGAGACTTCATGGGTGGTGCTAGCACTTCTGCTACATCACATCATGAGGTACATCATGCCTGGTTGTCCCATTTAGTGACCCTAATATTGACCAATGTCCTTAGGTAGTATTTCCTTCATTATAACGTTTTCTATTAACATTCACTTAGTAGTTTTAGCACCAACTGAAGGTTGTTTCCTAGATCTATTATTTTATTAGCGATGGCACAATGGAGATTTTCTGTTTCTCTCATTCTGCGTTCATTAGCTGAAATTCTATATAGAATTTTTCCCAATTAAAAAACTACTTTGAAAGAGTTCATAGAAGAAAGGCAAGATAAATGTTTACTTCTTTCTCTTAAAAAATCCATTTTCAAAGTAATAAAATGATATCCTAGCAACCTCAGTAGAAATTTTAAAAATTAGCATCATTATCAATGTATGTAATGTATGGGTTTTCACATATTTATGGAGTTTAATTATTTGCAGTCATTATTCTTTTTGAGTTCAAATTAAGCCAGTGGGAGCCCTTGGTACTGTGAGGATTTTGTTCTCAATCATGTGTAGGGAAACTTCCAGGCACTTTGTCCAACTTTTATATTAATAGATTCTAGCCCTGTCTTTATCCCCTTTCTCATCTTTCAAATTATGGTATTGACAATTAACATATGTTAGCCAATTTCCCCATGAAAGAGCTTATATTGCCAGTTTTTCTGGATACATCTTTCTTTCTGTATGGTTGATTAACATTCATAAGCTATTTTGCCAGGGCTTTATACTAGATGAGTGTAATTCGGCAAGTTTTGTTCCTTTATAATTCCTAGTTTTTAAAAGTAAATTGTCAACTAGACTGTAAACTTATACTAAATACTAAAATAACCTTAAATCTGATATTATTTAACAAAATACAACAAAAGTCACAGGCGAAGTTTTTCTGACCTCCACTACAGTTTTGCAGGTGGCAGAATATTTCATAGGTTCATTAGTTAAGCAGTTTATCTCTCCTATTATTTCTCCACTGAGCATATAGTCTGTGTCAATTATCGGAAAATCTTTCTCCTTTGACTCCACCATTTGATCAATCCCTAAACCTGGCTTTGATTTTTCAAGCTGTTCAGGAACAAAGAAAGAGAAAAATACATATGCCAGTTAACTTGTATTACCAAAACTAATTTATGACTTTTTCCACTTTGGTTTGAACAATTCTAATATTTACATATTGTCTTGAGAATAAATATTTTATTTCTTTTTAAGTAAAATTATTAAATTAGCAATGATTTAGACACAAAGCATTCTTAAATACTCTGATCTTTCTGATTCCTCCTACTTAGTTAATCTATACCCATTTTAGGATGGCTAAATCTCTAACTCAGATCAGCATAAGATGAATAACAATTTATATTATAATTGTCCATCGTGAAAGATAATTCTTTTGAAAGTTTCCTGTTATCTGTGAGAAAGTATGGCTTTAAAATGATGGATAGTGTTATCCATTGTGTCTGAACATGAAAATTTATCATTAGATGGTAGTCACTGTCCTAAAAAAGAAACTATGCAGTTCTTAACATGGAAAGCTACTAATTATCAATTTCATAAAGTTTTCTTTAAAAACTTATGATCACAAGTGCATTTATAAATAACTCTGCCTGGTCAGGCGCAGTGGCTCACGCCTGTAACCCCAGCACTTTGGGAGGCTGAGGCGGGCGGATCACCTGAGGTCAGGAGTTTGAGACCAGCCTGGCTAACATGGTGAAACCCCGTTTCCACTAAAAATACAAAAAATTACCAGGGTGTGGTGGTGCGTGCCTGCAATTCCAGCTACTTGGGAGGCTGAGGCAGGAGTATCACTTGAACCCAGGAGGTGGAGGCTACAGTGAGCCAAGATCATGCCATTGCACTCCAGCTTGGGCAACAAGAGAGAAACTCTGTCTCAAAACAAAAAAACAAAACAAAACAAAAACCTCTGCCTTACCTTTACCATGCCTGAAATAATGATATAGATTCCTTTGGGCTCATCACCTTCTTCAAATATATCATTTCCACAATCAAATGTTACAACTTTGGCTTTTTCCTAAAAGATACCACCAAATACATAAACTATAAACAACATTTTAGAAGTGGTTGGGAATGTTAAAATTTGCATTTTTGTTATTTATTTTTTTGAGACGGAGTCTCGCTCTGTCACCCATACTGGAGTGCAGTGGTGCAATCTTGGCTCACTGCACCCTCCCCCTCCTGGGTTCAAGCCAAGGAGAATTGCTTGAGCCAATTCTCCTACCTCAGCCTCCTGAGTAGCTGGGATTACAGGTGCCCACGACCATGCCCAGCTAATTTTTGCATTTTTAGTAGATACGGGGTTTCACCACATTGGCCAGGCTGGTCTCAGACTCCTGACCTCAGGTTTTCTGCCCACCTTGGCCTTCCAAAGTGCTTGGATTACAGGCGTGAGCCACCATACCCGGCCTAAAATTTGCATTTTTAAAAAAAGTTTTTACATTTAAAAATTACTATCATTTGATAATATCTGAAATATATTAGTAATAAGTTTGTAACAGAAAATAGAAATTATGAATAGTAAAGAGGAAGGTGGATCTTTGTGAATATATGCAATTTTAGATAGGGTATTTATACACGGATTAGAAAAGAAGTACTCTAGGAATGAGAATGTAATTAGGGGATAAAAATCTTTCATCTGGATGAAAAGTAATGGGAACAGATGTAGGCTAATGGCATGCATATGTCATACATACCCTTGCTCTAAACAGCTGATCAGGTAAATAAAATATTCATTTATTCAAAATGTTTAATCAGGTAGAAAAATATAATTGGTCTTTTGACATCAAATAGATATTTAAAAAAAGAATATTAGAACAAGTTAGATCCATTTATTTGCTCATTCCACAAGCACTTAACTGAGCATCCACTATGCATTATGCAAAGTGCTAGGGGCTGGGTATTCAAAAGGTAGATGAGATAAAAAATATAGTAGGAGGGAGACCTAAAGATAATTGTAATGTAATGTACTTAATGCTATAATAAAGGTACATATTGGATACAATGGCAGCAATATTGGTCCTCTGAAAACAATATAGTTCACAGGAAGGTCTTCTACTGGGGCATTTGGCCCCAAAACCTACTTCTCTGAGTACTCTGGTGGGGATGTTTCCAGAAAAGAAATAAGCAGGAAAAGTTTGAAAAAAAAAAGTGAAAAACAAGGGCATTTCAAGAAAAGTAAATAGCACCCACAGATGAATGGAATTAGAAAAACATGTAATGTGCATGGAACACCATGAGTGGTTCAGTATAAATAGAGTATAGAGGATATGTGACAATGGAAAACAGAAGACAAAGCTGAAGTAGGCAGGAAACAGATTGTAGAAACATTTTGCATATTATTCAAAAGGATTTTGATTTTATCCTATCAGAAATAAGGAACATTTAGAGAATATTAAACTAGAGAGTATCATGGTTAAATTCTTATTTTAAAGATTATTTGTTAGTACATTAAAAATATTATTAATAGGAAATAAAAGTGTTACCTGAATGAAGTTTATATAATCTTTGTTTTTATCTAGCCACGGAATATGATATAGAACTTCTTCAACAGTAAGAGGCCTGATAATAGATTGAGAATCAAGCACCTCTTTCTTTTTGGCCATGATTAACTAAAACATAAAATTTAAGAAAAGGGATGAACCAAACTGCTGTTCCCAGAATGTTTAAGGCAGACAGGTCTTTGTACTATTTCCTATTCTTGATCATTTGACATTTTTCTTCTTCCATGAACATTTTCAACCTCTCTTTATATCATGATTCTTTTTGTATCATCATTATTTTTATTTCTTCCCAACTTTTATTTTAGGTTCAGGTGATACATGTGCAGATTTGTTACATGGGTAAGTTGCATGTCACAGGGGTTTGGTTTACAGATTATTTTGTTACCCAGGTAATAAGTATGGTACCTCTTAGGTAGTTTTCCCTATGATCATTATTCTGAAGTCATAGATAAGCTTCTTAAAGTAAACCATTTTACTGAAGTATAGCAGATGTGAAAAAAAAGTGTACAAGTCATAAATGTTCACTCAAAGAATATTACAAAGTAAAAACATCTGTGTAACAACACCTAGATTAATAAAACATTTGCTTCACCCTAGAATCCTCCTTTATGTTCTCCTCTAATCTTTACTTCTATCCAAATATAACTACTATACTTCTATCATCATTGTTTAGCTTTCTCTGGCTTTCAGCTTTATTGGCATGAAATGAAAGAATGTACTTGTGTCTGATTTCATTTGCTCAACATTTTGTTTCTGAGATTCATCGATGGTGTTGCAGAAAGCAAAAATTTATTCATTTTATTTTCATTGTTGTATAGTATTCGGTTGTATGGATACCACAGCTTTATTTATCTACTGTTGATTGACATTTAGATTGCTTCATTTGGGGTTTTTATGAGTAATGCCGCTACGAATATAGTGTACAGATGTACATATTTCTATTGAGTATATGGTTATCTAATCCGATTGCTGGATCATAAAGTATGCATATGTTCAATTTTAATAGGTACTGCCAAATATTTTTTCAAAGCACTCACATCAATTTACACTTCTACTCTAATGTTCCCGTTGTTCCACCCTGTTGTCTACACTTGGTATTGTCAATTTAAAAAAATGGTATGCTGGTGGTTGTGTATTGGTATTTCATTTGGGTTTTAATTTGCATCAAGCTTACGACAATGATATTTAGCACCTTTTCTTTTTTTTTTTCAGCCAATCACAAAAAACAGACTTTATTGAAGTATTTAGCACTAAACCCCACACAATTCCAGCTCTGTAGCTGAGGACACAGCCACTTGGCAATGGCACCAGGTGTTATACAAGACCAATAAGTTAATGTAAAGGACGCTTAGGTGTGGAGGGCCAGTGCTCAGCCGTCTCCTGGCTCAGTACAAGGCACTCTGGGCTCCAGTTAGGACACTGAGAGGCCAGGGAAACCAACATGCCCTGGAGAAAGGGGCTTAGAGACAAACCGGAAAAGCACAGCATCCAAGCAGGGTATTCACGCATGGGGGGCAGAGTAGGCCCAAAAGTTGGGGGTTGCTGATGCGGTAAGAGCACAGTGAGAGAAATGCCAGGTGCATCCCTTCAGCCTCCTGCATCCTCCCCCAGGTTCCTTTGATGGGCCATCCTGGGTCTTCCCTTGGCACCCTTGTGCAATCGGCTACATCGTTTTCTTTCCAGTAGAGAGAACTGTGCCTCTTCTAGGTCAGACACCAGAGTTCTTGGAACCTTCTGCTATATTCACAGTCTGTTCCAGTCCAGGTAACATGGGGGCAGAGAGTTCTGCACAGGTGAAGTCAGAACTCAGCTCTCCCTACCTCTCCTAGCCTCAATTCAGTTGCTTTCTCATTGAAGCAGGTCCCCTGACCTGGAAGCAAAGAAGGCCCTAGGATGAGAACCCAGGGACAGCTGGGTGGTCTTAGCACAGGCAGCTTCCAGACTTGCTCCAGTCGCTGCAGCTGGGACAATTAATGAATGCCCCCAAAGAAAATTCAGCATCTCATCAGCCCTTGGGAGTGAGTATGTCCATGTTTGTATAAATAACCACCTTCTCAGAGCAGAAGCATAGCTGGTGGGGGGAGTAGGAACTGTGACTCCCTCTCCCAACCAGAACATGCCACAAAAGTGGTGCCTTTCCAAAACCACTTGTAAAGTATTGGTTTTTGGGACTATGATGAAAAAACGTTAGAAGGGCCAGGTGCGGTGGCTCATGCCTGTAATCCCAGCACTTTGAAAGGCCAAGGCAGGTGGATCACTTGAGGTCAGGAGTTCGAGACCAGCCTGGCCAACATGATGAAACCCCATCTCTACTAAAAATAAAAAATTAGCAGGCATGGTGGTGCTTGCCTGTAATCCCAGCTACTCGGAAGGCTGAGGCAGGAGATTCGCTTGAACCCGGGAGACGGGGGTTGCAGTGAGCCGAAATCTTGCTACTGCATTCCAGCCTGGGCAACAGAGCGAGACTCCATCTCAAAAACAAACAAACAAAATGTTAGAAGGAGCAGTGGGGCTGCAAGCCCTTGAGATGCCCAGAGGTAGCTGTCAAAGGGTGGCTGCTGTCCACTAACCACAAGCATGGATCAGCCCCCAGCCGGACCCCCTGAGGCTACAAACCGTGATGCCACTGACTCAAAGCTCAGGGGTCTGGGAGCCCACAGGGCATAGACAGGGTATAGTGACTGGGTCCCTAAAGAGGATTTAGGGGGTCAGGAAAATAGCAGGGTCTAGCAAGACAATACACCACCGGGATATACTGACCTTTGACCTACCACTTGGTGTGTGCATCACAGAGCACATTAGAAAGGGGGAAGAGATTCTCCCCCAGCCCAGGCTGGGGTACCCAGAGACCTGGGAAATGGGGGAGAGTCATGTGCATGAGTATGTACCATGTCCAGCCTCCAGCAATAGTGGGACAGGAGGGCCAGGGGCAGTTCCCCAGGGAATTTCTTAGAACCAGAGCACAGAGTGTTGGAGAACTCCCAAGGTGGCCCACTCTGCTTCACTCGTCCCCTGCCACTTGTCTTATATAAGGAGATAGAGGCTGTCAGTCAGACAGGCAAGGCCTTAAGTCCAGTAGGCCAAACTCTGGGGGATAAAACATAATCATATCACAGGGGTATTGAGGACAATCCACATATATAAATCCTTAGGTCAGGGCTTCTGAAAAAAGTCGTGTAAAAAAAAAATAATAAAAGGTCTCAGCTCCAGGTCATCGGCCTGCGATGGGGATGGGGAAGCTGAAAGAGGCACTCAGGGGTGGGGGGGTCTCAGCCCAGCCCCTCTATGAAACAGTTTTTTCCAGCGTGGGGCGCAGAGTTACACCTGGCTGATGATCTCTCCTTTTTCAGGTACAAAGACTTGCACAGGGGCCCCGTCAGGCGATCTCCGCAGCACACACACTGTGGGCACCTGTGCCCGGGGTCCCAGGGCTCGCCCGAAGCCCTCTCTCCCAAGGGGCAGGCTCCTGACCCGGAAAGCTCCTTGGCGGTCCAGTGAGTGGGGGCGGGTGCTCCGGAGGCGTGCACGCTCGTGCCACCACTTGAGCTCCTCGGACACGGCGGCCTTGCTGAGCCCCCGGCCTGCCGGGCTGTCCTTCAGGGAGGGCGTCCGCACGATGCGGCTGCGAGAGGGCACCAGACGCTGGTAGCGCAGGGGAGTGCCCTCCTCCTCGTAAGCAGGGCCCGGGACTGCGCGGCACAGCTCCCACTCGCCAGGCGGCAGGGGGCTCTCAGCCACCACCACGTACCGCCCCGCCGGGAAATAGCCAGGCGGCAGCAGTAGCTTGGGGTGGTGGGCGACCAGCTCTCTGCTGCCGGCTGGGACCCAGGCCCCGCGGTATTTAGCACCTTTTCTTATGTGTATTAGCCATTTAAATATCTTCCGCTGCACAGTGCACTTTCAAATCTTTTGCCCATTAAAAAATGAACTTTCTGTCTTGTTCTTACTGATTTGTATATTCTGGATATGAGTTCTTCATTGGAAATATTTGTCTTGCAATTATCCTCTACCTTTTTGTGGACTTTTAGTTCTCTTAATTTTTTAATGAAGAAAAATTCTTAATTTTAATGTTATTAAAATCCAATTTGGTATCCTATTGAAATCTCTGCCTATGCCAATATCATGAAAATTCTCTTATGTCACCTTCTAGAAGTTTATTGTTTTACCTTTAACAGTTATGTCTATAATTTATCTGGAATTGATTTTTTGTGTATGGTATAAGATAAAGGTTCAGATTTATGAATTTAATAGTATAAGAACTCTACACAGAAAAAAAACAAAAACAATTAAAACAAAATTAAAACCTAATTAAGTGAAGATATATCATGTGAGTAGATCAAGTCAATATCACAAAGTTATCAATTCTCCCTAGATTGATATACAAGATTAATGGAATCTCAATGGAAATTTCAGTAGGCCAACTTAGTAGAAATTTCCAAGCTGCCTTTAAAATTTATTTGAAAATACAAAATGTTAAAATTAGTCAAAATAGTCTTGAAGAAAACAACAACGCTGGAAGACACACACAATCATGTATGAAAACTTAACAAGTTTCAGTAATCAAGACAATATGATTTGGTTTAATGATGGTTAAATAAAACAATGGAACAGAAAAAGAGTCCAGAAACTTATCCACACCTACACAGTCGCTTAAATAGTGACAAAGGCTCCAGCACAGTGCAATGGAGTAGGATGGTCTTTTTCATAAATTATGCTGGATCAATTGATTATTCATACAGAAAAATTGCTAACTTTAACCTAGCATTGTTATATAAGGCATTCTAAATGGCATTGCTTCTGTTCATTATTTCTGTTTTCTGCAAGATAAACTTTCTTTATGATCAGGTATATTGACCCTGCTTTCTAAGTTCAAAAGGTTTTTTACACACATCTCTTTCTATTTTGGGCTTTTTATAGTGTTATGTTTAAGAGCCTGAGTTCTGGGATCAGAATGCCTGGATTAAATTAACATCTCCAGACTTACTAGCTATCTGACCTTGGTGCAAGTTATTTAATCTCTCTGTGCTTCAGTTTTTTCTCTCATAAAATAGGGACAACAATAGTATCCACATGACAGATTGCTGTGAGAATCAAGTGAGTAAAGATTTATTTTAATCTTTCATTATTCTCCCTTCTGTTATTTTACCATGAGCTTTTGCAGGTTTTCATCTAGTGTTTATGTTTCTTCTTCATTGGAGATACTGCTTTTCACAGGTCTTCTCACCATGGTCAAATGAAATTACAGACTGGACCATTAAACTGTATAATCAGCATTAAACTAAAAATAACCTTCATTGAATGTGGTGAGTTGGTTTCAATTTGTACAAGGCACACAGGCTTTGTGTGTTAATGATGTAACCAATAGAAGATCAAGCGAGACTGTGTCTTCAGGATTCTATTTTGGTTACTTTCAAAAAAAATTGTGGCAACTGGGGGACTTGAGAAACCAGTCAAAATTTTTTAAAAAATTAGTTTACTAATTATATAGGTGATATATAAGAACACTTCCAAGTAAAAGTTTCAAGCATGATGAAAATACAAATAAAATAAATAGCTAAGGCTTCCTTCATTTTCCTTCTTTCCTTCTCATTTCTTCTTCCACATGGGGCAATACGAAAAGTTTTGCATATATTTGTCTAGATTATTTTTAATATATTACATAGATAGGTGTATCTACAGAAATTTTTAAAAATCTAAAATGACCATCTTATATATACAAAATCTTATAATTTTACAGGTTACTTTTTTCCTACTAATAGTGTATCTTGGTGAATTTTTTATATCAGTATATATAGATATTTAAAATTCTTGTTTATTTACATATAATGTTATTTATGTTTCCATATATGTTTCCACATCTATTTACATATGTTTATTTACATATATGTTGCACTTGCACAGCTATACCACACTTGCATGGCCATACTACAATTTATATAACCATCTCCAACTTGATGGACATATAGGCTGTTTATAATATATGTTTGAACACATATCTTTGCTTATTCTTGAATAACTGTAGATTCCTACAGGTGTAATTGCTGGTTTAAAGGTATGCATTTTTAAAGTTTTAATTTTTTTATTATTATTATATTTTAAGTTCTAGGGTACATGTGCACAACGTGCAGGTTTGTTACATAGGTATACTTGTGCCGTGTTGGTTTGCTGCACCCATTAACTCATCATTTACATTAGGTATTTCTCCTAATGCTATCCCTCCCCCCTCCCCTCACCCCATGACAGGCCCTGGTGGGTGATGTTCCTCGCCCTGTGTCCAAGTGTTCTCATTGTTCAATTCCCACCTATAAGTGAGAACATGCAGCGTTTGGTTTTCTATCCTTGCAATAGTTTGCTGAGAATGATGGTTTCCAGCTTCATCCATGTCCCTGCAAAGGACATGAACTCATCCTTTTTTATGGCTGCATAGTATTCCATGGTGTATATGTGCCACATTTTCTTAATCCAGTCTATAATTGATGGACATTTGGGTTGGTTCCAAGTCTTTGCTATTGTGAATAGTGTTGCAATGAACATACGTGTGCATGTGTCTTTATAGCAGCATGATTTATAATCCTTTGGGTATATACCCAGTAATGGGATGGCTGGGTCAAATGATATTTCTGGTTCTAGATCCTTGAGGAATCATCACTGTCTTCCACAATGGTTGAACTAGTTTACACTCCCACCAACAGTGTAAAAGTGTTGCTATTTCTCCACATCCTCTCCAGCATCTGTTGTTTCCTGACTTTTTAATGATCGCCATTCTAACTGGTGTGAGATGTTATCTCACTGTGGTTTTGATTTTCATTTCTCTGATGACTAGTGATGATGAGCATTTTTTCATGTATCTGTTGGCTGCATAAATGTCTTGAGAAGTGTCTGTTCATATCCTTTGCCCACTTTTTGATGGGGTTGTTTGTTTTTTTCTTGTAAATTTGTTTGAGTTCTTTGTAGATTCTGGATATTAGCCCTTTGTCAGATGGGTAGATTGCAAAAATTTTCTCCCATTCTGTAAGTTGCCTGTTCACTCTGATGGTAGTTTCTTTTGCTGTGCAGAAGCTCTTTAGTTTAATTAGATTCCATTTGTCAATTTTGGCTTTTGTTGCCATTGCTTTTGGTGTTTTAGTCATGAAGTCCTTGCCCATGCCTATGTCCTTAATGGTATTGCCTAGGTTTTCTTCTAGAGTTTTTATGGTTTTAGGTCTAACATTTAAGTCTTTAATCCATCTTGAATTAATTTTTGTATAAGATGTAAGGAAGGGATCCAGTTTCAGCTTTCTACATATGGCCAGCCAGTTTTCCCAGCACCATTTATTAAATAGGGAATCCTTTCCCCATTGCTTGTTTTTCTCAGGTTTGTCAAAGATCAGATGGTTGTAGATGTGTAGTGTTATTTCTGAGGCCTCTGTTGTTCTGTTCCATTGGTGTATCTCTCTGTTTTGGTACCAGTACCATACTGTTTTGGTTACTGTAGCCTTGTAGTATGGTTTGAAGTCAGGTAGCATGATGCCTCCAGCTTTGTTCTTTTGGCTTAGGATTGTCTTAGCAATGCGGGCTCTTTTTTGGTTCCATATGGACTTTAAAGTAATTTTTTCCAATTCTGTGAAGAAAGTTATTGGTAGCTTGATGGGCATGGTATTGAATCTATTAATTACCTTGGGCAGTATGGCCATTTTCATGATATTGATTCTTTCTATCCATGAGCATGGAATGTTTTTCCATTTGTTTGTGTCCTCTTTTATTTTGTTGAGCAGTGGTTTGTAGTTCTCCTTGAAGAGGTCCTTCACATCCCTTGTAAGTTGGATTCCTAGGTATTTTATTCTCATTGTAGCAATTGTGAATGGGAGTTCTCCCACGATTTGGCTCTCTGTTTGTCTGTTATTTGTGTATATGAATGCTTGTGATTTTTGCACATTGGTTTTGTATCCCGAGACTTTGCTGAAGCTGCTTATCAGCTTAAGGAGATTTTGGGCTGAGACGATGGGGTTTTCTAGATATACAATCATGTCATCTGCAAACAGGGAAAATTTGACTTCCTCTTTTCCTAATGGAATACCCTTTATTTCTTTCTCTTGACTGATTGCCCTGGCCAGAACTTCTAACACTATGTTGAATAGGAGTGGTGAGAGAGGGCATCCCTGTCTTGTGGCAGTTTTCAAAGGGAATGCTTCCATTTTTTGCCCCTTCAGTATGATAACTGGCTGTGGGTGTGTCATAAATAGCTCTTATTATTTTGAGATACATTCCATCAATACCTAGTTTATTGAGAGTTTTTAGCATGAATGGCCGTTGAATTTTCTAAATTGCCCTCCAGAATGGCTGTGCTGACTTACATTTTAGTCTACCATATTTAAGTCTATTTTCTCATAACCTAATTAGCATTGAACAATAACAGTTTTTGCCCATCATTTCTGATTTAATTGGCAAAAAAATTGTATCTTTAGTTTTATTTCTCTAGTTTCTATTTACTAAAGAAAATACTTCTATTCTTTGATTATTAGGGATGTCAAATATCTTTTCAAACATTCATTGTAAATTTTGTTTATATATCTGTGAAATACTTTTTAATACCCTTTTTTCACTTTCTCCAGGATTTTTTGCCCTTTTTAAATTGATTTCTATAAACTTTTTAGGAATTATTGCTATCAGTACTTTGTGTGTAATACATGTTACAAATGTTATTTTCCATGTTTGCTTTTAATCTCATTTTAATATATTTCAATATATAAAGTTTTAAATTTTATGCAGTAATTTTTACTTTTTTTAAACACACACACACACACACACACACACACACACACACATATATATATATGGCTTTGTAAGTGGTTTAGAAAAGCTTTCCTCACATCAAGAATATAGATATATTCTGTATTTCATTATAACATTTGTATAGTTGACTTTGTATCCTACAACTTTACTAAATTCAATTATCAATTCTAACAAGTTTTTGATGGTTTTCTCTATATGAGATCATGTCATCAGAAAATGGAGACAGTCTCACTTCTTTCTTTCCTATGAGGATGCTTTTTATTTCTTCTCATGCCTAACTGCTGTGGTCAGGACTTCCAGTACTATGTTGAAAATAAGTGGGGAGAGAGGACGTTTCTTTTCTTCTCTCTGATTTTTCAACTTTTCCTCATTGAGGATGATGTGAGCAATGGGTTTATCATATTTGGCCTTTATTGCGTTGAGATACATTCTCTCTATGCCTAATCTATTGAGAGTTTTTATTATGAGAGGGTGCTTAATTTTGTCAAATGCCTTTTCTATATCAATTGGGAAAATCATATTATTTTATCCTTAATTTTGTTAATGTGGTGTATCACATTTATTGATTTGTGTATGTCAAACAGTCCTTGCATCTCAGAAATAAATCCCACTTTACCAATTGTGGTGAATGATTCTTTCAATGTGTTTTTGAATTCAGTTTGTTAATATTTTGTTGAGAATATTTGCAGGTATGTTCATCAGAAATATTGGTCTATAATTTTCTTGTCCTTATCTGGCTTTGATATCAGAATAATGATAGCCTCATAAAATGGGCTTGGAAGTATTCCTTCTTTGCTTTTTTGGAGGAGTTTGGCAATGTTAACTCATCATTGCATCTGGAAGTTTTTCTTTCTATATGGTGTGAGGTATGGATCTAATGTTATATTTTTTCATATGAATTTCAAATATCTCAGAATTATTTATTGAATAATCTATCATTTCTTCCTAATATGCAATGTCCCTTAATATTATATATTAGACTACCATGTGTGTTTATGTTTGCTATTGGACTCAACTCTATTTCCTTGAATTTTTTTATTCTATTCTAATTCTTCACTATTTGATTATTATGGATTTATAGCATGTCTTAATATTTAGTAGAGCAAACATCCCTCTCACTGTTTTTTTCCATTTTTTTTTTTACTGTGGTAAAATACACGTAACATAAAAATTTATTATTTTAACTATTTTAAATGGCTAAGGCTCCCTTCATTTTCACTGGTATTAAGTACATTCATACTGTTGCTTAACCATCACTACCATCCATCTCCAGAATTCTTTTCATCTTGCACAACTGAAACTCTATACCCATTAAACAATAATTCCCCATTTCAACTTCCCCAGCCCCTGGCAACTACAATTCCATCATTTCTCTATCTTTTGATTCTCTAAATACCTTATATAAATGCAATCACATAGTATTTGATTTTTGTGACTGGCTTATTTCAATTAGCACAAGTCATCAAGATTCATCTATATTGTAGTATATATCAGGATTTATCTTTTTAAGGTTAAATAAAATTCCATTGTATGTATATACCACATTTTGCTCATTCATTCATCTATTAATGGACACTTGGGTGGTGTCTACCTTTTATTGTTTCTATTCTTTTTTTGTTTTTGTTTTTTTCTTTCTTTTTGGTCTGCCTGAGTTATTTCAGAAGACTTGTCTTCAAGTGCAGAAATTATTTTTTCTGCTTGGTTTAGTCTTTATTGAAGCTCTCAATTGTGTTTTTTATTTCATTCATTGAATTCCTCAGCTCTAGAATTTCTGTCTGGTTCTTTGTTAAACTTCTCACTTGAATCATGAATTGTTTTTCTGATTTGGTGTACTGTCCATCTGTATTCTCTTGTATCCTACTGTTTTCTTAACATGATTATTTTAAAATTTTTTTCTGGTATTTTGTGTATCTGTTAGTAGAGAGTTATTGTGTTCCCCTGGAAGTATCATATTTCCTTGCTTTTTCATGTTTGATGTGTCACTACACTAATTTCTATGCATCTGGTGGAACAATTGCCTCTTTGAATTTTATGAAGTAGGTTTCATAGGGAAAGACTTATTGGCATGAGTAGGTCTTGGGGTGTCGGTTGGGTAGAATGCATTGGCTTTGGATCTAGGTGGATGCAGTAGTGTAGTCTCCATGTAGTTTGTTCCAACTGGAATCCATACTCGTGAATTTTGCAAGTGTTTCAGTGGCCTAAGCTATGAGAGCGTGTGGTGGTAATGCCATGGCTTTGCCAGGTATAGACTTGCCGGACTGCCTCTCAAGTTGGGGGCACATGCATGCACATGACATGTCAGCTAACCTGGGGTCTGGATCACTAGGGTTGGAGCCATGGGTCTGTTACTCTGGCCAGGGGCATGGGCATGCGACTATTTAGCTGGCTTGGAGGCAGGTCTGCCTAGGATTGGATGGGCTTTTTTTCTGGTCTGGCATGTGGGCACAAGACTGCTTAGCTACATTGGGGGCATATCTTTCAGCAGAGGCTTGTGGGGCTGTTTCTCAGGCCCTTAGTTCTGGTGCAGGGCATTCAGCAGGCCAGAGGCATGTCTGTGTTGAGAAGGGTAACTTGGGGCTCTTTCTTGGTCACAGGATACAGGCACAAGGCTGCTTTGCTGGCTTAGGAATATGTCTGCTGGGGGTAGCCCATGGGGTTGTGTCTCAGGCTCTGGGTATGGGGATGGCATGGGGTCATTGGGCAGGCCAGGGGTATGTCCATAAGGTTAATGGTGGGGACAGGGCTGTTTTTCAGGTCTTGGGTGGGGACACTTGTAGCTGCTCTGCTAGCCTGGGGGTGTGTTATCTACTTGCTGGCTTGTGGGCCTCTCCTGGTTGCAGGAGAGACACAGTGGTTAGGCCATTTCAACAGAGGTTTTGTCCTGAATGGGGCTGCAAGACTGTTTCTCTGGCTGGAATTGTGGGTGGTGGGGGTTGGTTTTCCTGCTATGTGGGACCAGAGCCACAGCTGATCCTAGGCCCCAGTTTCACACAACTGGGTTTGTGGCATTCAGTCATTCATGTGGGCTTGGTGGAATGAAGAGACAGCTCCAGGGCTGGAGGGGTGCAATAGCAACTGGTCCCATGAGCAGGGTACACTCCACAAATGGCTCTGGTGTCAAGATGGTGCCATGGTGCAGCAGCTTGGCTCACAGTAGATGGGTAGGGAGTGGGGCGTGCACACCTTATGATCCTAATCTGGAGTAATGCAGCTTCATGAATTCCCAGCAGCTCCCCAAATAATGTTCAGGTTTTGGAAAGACTGTGCGATACTTCTGTAGGGAGGACTGCAGGTGCTTGTGGTGGCATTGGGGGCCAGTGGGAATCTTCTGCCTATCTTTTCCCTGAAATGGGAAGTTATTTCTGACTCCAGGCCAATATGCGTGGGGGAGATGGGGCTGCAGAAGCAGGGTGACTCCATGTGACTTCCTGGGCTTTCCAATCACCACAGGTACTTCTTTACTCCCTGCCTGTGCTTTAGTTTTCTCCCCTCAACATTCCAGCCAAATCTTATTTTTTTAATTTGTTGCCTTGGTCCTTTCTTTTCAGGGGTGAAGGAAATGAGTACCAGGCACCTCTAGTGTGCCATCTTGCCTATGTCACTGTAAATTAATTGGCTTCTACATTTTAGTTATTGTGAATAATGTTGCTATGAATGTAGGTGTACAAATAACTCCTTGAGACTCCACTTTCAATTCTTTTGACTATATACCCAGAAAAGGAATTACTGGATCATATGGTAATTCTAATTTTAACTTTTTTGAGAAAGTGCCATACTGTTTCCCACAGAGGTTATATCATTTTACTTTTCCAACAACAGTGTACAAGGGTTCCAATTTCTCCACACCCTCACCGAAACAATGATATTTTCTTTTTTTTTTTTGGTGGTAGCTATCCTAATGGATGTGTGGTGGTATCTCACTGTAGTTTTGATTTGCATTTCCATAATGATGAATGATGTCAAACTCATTATATTTTCATGTTGTTATTGGCCACTTGAGTGTCTTCTTTGGAGAAATTTCTATTCAAATGTTTTGCCCATTTTGAATCAGGTTGTTTAGTTTTATGAGTTCTCTATATATTATGGGTATTAATTTGTATAAGACAAATGGTTTGCAAATATTTCCTCTCATTCTTTGGGTCGTTTTACTCTGTAATAGTGGTTTTTGATGCACACACAAAATTTCCAAATTTTCCTGAAGTGCACTTTGTCTATATTTTATTTTGCTGCACGTGCCTTAAGCATCATTTCCAAGTAATCATTGTCAAATCCAATATTTTGAAGTTTTAACCATGTTTTCTTCTAAGAGTTTTATAGTTTTAGGTCTTACATAAAGGTCATGGGTCTATTTTGAGGTATTTTTTGTATATGATGTTAGTTAAGGGTCCAACTTTATTCTTGTGCATGTAGAGATCCAGTTTCTCAAAGAAAAAGCACATAGTTGGATCATGTTTTTTGATCTGTTCTGCCAATCTCTGTCTTTGATTAGAGAGTTTAATCCCTTTACATTTAAAGTAATTACTGATAAGAAGGAACTTACTTCTGTCATTTTGCTGTATTTTTTTTGTATAGCTTTTCTAAATATCTGTAGCTTTGTTGTCCTATATTATTGTCTTTTGTGTTAAGTTGATTTTTTAAAATAGTGAAACATTTAAGTTATTTTCTTATTTATTTCTGTGTATATATTTTAGCTACTTTTTTTATGTGTTTACCATGGGCATTATAGATGAACTCCCAGAGCTATAACACTATAATTTGAATTTATACAAACTTAACTTCCATAACATTCAAAAACTCTATTCCTTTAACAACAGTTCCATCCCCATCTCCTTCCAGCTGTTGATATCACAGTATTACATCTTTATACATTGTGTGTCCAAAAACATGAAATATTTTTAATGCAATCCAAAGTTAAAATAATATTAGTTTTATACTAATAACTGTTTTTAGTAGAAATATTATTCTCGTAAATCATTTAGAAAACAAAAAGTGGAGTTACACATCATGATTACAATAATACTAGCTTTTATAATTCCCTATGTATTTACCTTTACTGAGTCTTATTTCTTTATAAGGTTCTGAGTTACTGTCTAGTGTCCTTCCATTTAACCAGCAGGACTTCCTTTTGCATTTATTTTAGGGCAGATCTAGAGGTAACAAACTCCCTAAACTTTTGTTTATCTGGAAATGTCTCAATTTTTCCTTTACATTTGAAGTACAATTTTTCTGAATGTAAGATTCTTGGCTGACACTTTTTTTTTTTTCCACTTCGAATATATCAGCTCACTGGCTTCTGGCCTCCAAGTTTTCGGGTAAGAAATCTGCTATTAATCTTATTGAGGATCCTTGTGTGTGATGGATTGCTTCTCTCTTGTTGTCTTAAAACTTCTTTTTGTCTTTTAACAGTTTGATTATAATGTGTCTAGATGTGGTTCTGTTTGTGTTCATCCTACTTGGAATTTGTTGAGATTCTTGGATGTTTACATTCATGTCTTTCATTAAATTTCAAAAGTTTTTGGCCATTATTTTCTCAAATATTGTCTTTTTTCCTTCTCTCTCTTGGACTCCCACAATATATATTGGTCTGCTTCAGGTGTCCCACAGGCCCCTTAGGCTCTGTTAACTTTTAAAAATTCTTTTTATCTTTCTGTTCCTCAGACATGTAATTTCCAGTGACCTATCCTCAAGTTTGCTGATTCTTTTTTCTGCCTACTCAAATCTGCCTTTGAATCCCCTTAGGAAATTTTTAGATTTTCGTTATTGTACTTAATTGTACTTTTTACTTTTCTGCTCCAGAATTTCTTTTTAGATTTTCTGTGTCTTTATGGATATTTCCATTTTGTTCATGTATTTTCTACCTGACTTTCCTCACATCTTCCTTGAGTTCTTTGAGCATCTTTAAAACAACTGTTTTAAAGTCTTTGTCTGGTAGACCTGCCATCTTTTTTAGGGACAGTTCTGTTGTTTTATTTTTTTCTTTTGAATGGGCAATACTTGCCAGTTTTTGTGTATGCCTTGTGATTTAAAAAAAAAAAACTGAATTTGAATTAAACAATGTGGTAATTCTGGAACTCAGACTCTCCCTTTTTCCCCAGAATTTGCTGTTTTGTTTTTGTTTTTTGGTGGTTGTAGTCTGTCTCTGAGCTGAGGATTAGTCTTAGGTCTAAGCTTAAGGCATTGTCAGGGTTTTATTTTACTTTTTTTCTGAGCCTGTGCCTTCCCCTGTGCATGCATTGTGACTTTCTAATTTCACCTGTGAAGTGGTGGTTTTTGAATGTCTTAGTCTCTAAAGTCTGGCTCCCAAAAGAGAAATAAGACAAAAATAAAGAGGTTAAAAAAAGTGTTGGCCCTTTAAATCCTTTGGAAGTCACTTCAGCCAGAGGGGGAGGGCTTACAATAATGTGAGGAGGTGCAATCACAATGGTTTCCACCTCTTTGCCTTCTCTGATTAGAAACAGCGATCAATCAGTCATCAGAGTACAGATGCAAGATATTTAGAGAACAGGGTCTTTTATTGCCAATCTGGCTCTTGCAAGTTGTAAGTTGCTCCAAGGACACATGCATAGCTGCCTGCCATGGTGCTGAGGGGTGAGGAGTAGCTATTACTGTGCTAAGAGATAAACATGACAGAAATTAACCAAAATTTATCATCCAAGCCTTCCCCTGAAAGTTGCAAACCTTCATAGAATTCAGATTTCCAAAATAGTTACATCAGACAGATTTTGCCAGTGCAATTGTTGTCTAAAAGGAGAGACAGATTTCTGAAACTTCCTACTCTGTTTTCTTCCTAGAATCCTCTAAATTCTTACCATTTTCTTAATAAATTAATTTTTGAGCAATAAATTGTACAAGTAAAATCCTTAACTCCCTGACATGGTGTGAATTTTAATTAAGGTTTATTAAATTAACTGATTATTTTATGGATGATTCATGCCTTAGATATTGATTCTCTACAACATGGGTTGCAACTACTGCCTGTCGGCCTGCTCCTGCTTAACACCTGCTTTTGTAAACAGTATTTTTTTGGGGTAGGGAACACAACCCTGCCTATTTATTTACATGTTGTTTGTAGTTGTTTTGGTATTACAATTGCAGAATTTAGTACTACTAGTAGGAACCATATGGCCTACATTATATAAAATATTTACTATATTTTCCTTTATAGAAAATGATTAATACCTACTCTACAGAAACATGTATTCAGTTGGAATTTTTTAGTTCTTGCCACATAGGTGTTATGTATTTTATATTAGGTTCATAGATAAGAATTTAGAGTTTCTAATTGTAATTGTAAATATAATAATATTTTTCTAAATTTTTCCATTGGAGAAGAATTTTATATATTACTTTTATTTCTGGACTCTATTGAATTATTTTATTAATCCTACTGCTTTTAAGCTAATTCCTTAAGATTTTAATCAGTCAACAAATAATAGCACTTTTCTCCTCTTTCCAAAATTTTCATCTTTCAATTTTCTTTCTTTTTTTTCTTGACTTGGATAAGACCTCCAGCATAGTTATTCAATGCTTGGAATGCCACTTGTCGTTCTTCTTTTGTTCCTAACTTTAATAAGAATGCTCTTAATGTTTTGCTATCTAACACAAAGTTTGCTACAAATTTTTAATAGATACTATTTATCAAGTTAGGGAGGTTCCTTCTATTATTAGTCTTCTAAGATTTTTATTAACATTCTTAATGAGGGTTAAATTTTATCAAATAGTTTTTCTTCTTCATCTCTTAATATGTGAGTTACATAGCTGTTAGGGGAGAGAAAACCTACCGAGACAAAGTATATTACACGTTTAATATGCTACCCAATTCAGTTCACTACTATTATGCTAAGAAATTTTGTATGTGTATTTACAAGTATAACAGGTTTATGCTTTTTTTTTCTTATGCTATTTCCAATTTTGGTGTCAAGTTTGTACTTACAGAATGAATTGGGATTCTTTCTATCCTTTATATGTCATAGTACCATTTATGTAACTTAGGAAAAGGAAATATAGTCAACACTAACCCTACAATTGAGTGTTCTCATAAATCATGTTTTACACGAAAAATGTTATTTAAGTGTCACAGATAATTCCCCAAACATAATAATACCCACTGTAATCTAGGATGACGAATAGATTCATCAGACTTTTGGTTTGACAGCAAAGCAGAGAAACAGGTGGTCTGTTCCTGTAGCAAAAATAAAAAGAGAAGCTGACCACCTGGGCTGCAGGAAGGAAACTGTCTATCATAGGAGTTTGTCTTCAGAAAATTATTTTAAGTGAGATTTTCCTATCTTAGAAATGGCCTGTATTAGAAGTCAAATGTAGCCTTGAAGGTCATGAATGATTATGTATCAAGTAAATATACTTGCTTTGAAAATATTTTGCCTTACCTTATTAATTCCAGCACCTTCAGTTTTACTAATAATTCCTTTTAAGCCAAAAGCCTTAAGAATTTCTGTAGCCATATTGAGCATAACATTAATTTCTTCCTTTGTTTTCACAGTGACAGCAATTTCTGGGTGATCATACTCTAAGTAGCCTAAAAAATAACAAAATATTTTTAGATTAAATAAGAACATTGTTTTAAATGTTTTATGTGGACAATAAGCTAAGTTTCTGTTCTAAACCCATGGAATACCGCCCTCAACACAGAGAAATGTATCTCTTCCTGAAGGGGCCACTATGATCAATCATAATTCACTAGTAGTGCCAGAGTTCTGCTGGATGTTTTCTTGGCAGCACTCATACTTGTGCCCAAGTCCATGGAGAAGGATAGGTAGCTTCGTTTCTAGGATTAACAGGTATACTTTTCTACCTGCACTGGACACTAGGAGGCTGCTCAGGGCTATATGTCTGGAGTTCATGACTCATTTTCTTATTCTGTGTGAATCAGAATTTTTAACTACAGATGATTTTGTGATTAAATACGGCTTCTGATTACTTCCTTTCACTCGTCTTAGGTCATCGTCCACTCAACCTGCCAGTGCATCTAGATGACTCATACATTTATGCTCTTCTGCCCATTTCATCTGGATTCCTGAAGTCCATGAAAATTTCATCTTAGAGTCTACATTTGGGCTTTTCCTTGACCATAACCTCTTATCTGGCTTGGTAACTACCTGTCATAGAAGATCTCTCAAATGACCTCATCTCCAGGTTTGCTGTGTCCTTTTGTAGCTCACCACATGGTATAAAATTTTCTTCTCCTCCTATACATGAACATTGTACTGTAGGGTTGTGACTGTGCCACTCTTAAGATTTGTCCTGCACCAGGAGCGTGACTTGGCATGACTCAGAGAATAGGCTATTGCCATGTTTGACACTGGGCCTCCCAGCAGATATAACAGGATTCTGCAAGATTGTATTCTAATTTCAACTCATGTAAGACCTAAATCCTTAAATGGCAGCTCTGTGGCAAGTAGAGGAAAAACGTAACTTCTTTTCTTGTGTCACTCAGGAAGGTACATGTATTTCTGGTTTGGAAAAAAATGGAATTTACAAGACTATAATGACATACATAATCATAGCATGCCAACTTGTCTAAAGAGAAATCAAAAGGCCTTCATTGTTGCATGAAGCAGAGAGAGAAAGTGTGAAGCGATATTACACTATTTCCATCTCAACTAGAAAATAAGATTGCATTGATTGTTGAGGTTACTCACTTCAGTATTGTTAGTGAGTAGGTTTCCTCAAAGATTAGCTCGAGTTATGAAAACCATTGCCTTTCTGAAGTGGTGATGATAAGAGATGGTCATGCTAAATAGGATGAGAGCTACTTACCTAGCTCTTTTATAGCATGTTCCATATTCCTTATCACTTGCTTTAATAACATCTAAGGAACAAAAGAAATGTTATCCCCATTGGAAAAACAGACTGTTATAAAATGTCCTTACATTTGCAACTGATGGATTTTTAACCTAAGTTAATAGTTTTAAGAGAAGTAGGATGAAGAGGTTTTCAGGGGTTCGAATTGAATTTTGTGCCGCAGCACTTTTTGCTTCAGCTAAAGTAATAGAGAAGATAAGAGGTATAACCTAGCCCAATTTTGAGACATCTGAAGGTGAGTCATGATTCTGAAAAGTGCAGGCATGGTATTAATTCCTAATATAATTTGGATGTTTGTAATATGAAACGTTATAAAACTTAATTTGTCAAAGGGAGCTAAAATTTAAGATACAAACATTAGCCCAACAGAAAATTGTAGCCATAAAACTAGTAAACTGATTTTAGTCTATGTTTTATGAACATAGGTAGGTACTTTCCCATTCGGCTTTATGAGAGCCCCCAGATTTGTGATTCCAGGATGGCTTGCAATCTTAAGGGATTAGAAATTTTGGCCAAGGTGAACGAAAGTAGAAATTAGGGATAATAAGACAATATTTTAGGGACTCAAGTCTTTTCATATTTTCTCCTGTGTGTCTCCAAATTCAAGTGCTAAATATCAGTGGTTAGAAAAGGTAATAAAACATAAGAAAATAGTTTTAAAGTTGCAGGAGGTGAAGAGAGGAAGATACTACTTTTTGTGTTCTACCACATATTGAATGTTCAGTTTCTCAATGACAAAGTTTTGGGCACATAAAATATAGCATTGAGATGTTTTAAATCGTCTTGAAAAGTAAATATTGCATTCCACATAGCTGACAAACTTATGGGCACATATCGGTTTTAATCTGTCTCAATCTAGAAAGTAAAAATAATATCTAGAATTTAGGCCTTAGAATTATCTTTCCTGCTTACTCACTATGGAACTTTGGGCACAATCATTTAACCTCTCTTGGCCTCCTTTTTCTCATCTGCATAATGACAAAATCAAACTAGGTTTCCCTCTATTTTAATTATTGTTTTCTTTACTTCTTTCTATTTGCTGAATCACTTGTTTTTATTTCCTTTACTGTTTAATGTGTAGAAAACAAGGATAGAGAGAGATGAAAGAAGCTTTTGGGCATTATGAGGAAGCCCTGTTTTCTCCACCCTGCCTTCACTTCTCACCTTCCAGTACTTCCTATTTTACACACCCATAGCCTGACAGATCTTAGAGCTTGCATTGGGAGAAAGCTAACCACTGCACTTGGGTTTTGTGATAGCCTCCACAAAGACAGAAGTGTGCCTTATAGGAGCCTTGTAACTTGCTAATATGGCACAGTTCATTTCAGAAGGAGGCATTTGAGTAATTTAAATGTAACCTAGTTTAAGTTTTTAAAGAAATGAATTAGAAAACCAGGAGTCAAAGACATCTGCATATATGAACAGAAAAAAATGATGGATGAGGGCAACTGAGGGCTGAGTGAACTCTTTTCTTAGGATTTAAGGTTTTCTTACCTGTTTAATCTGTTTAGAACTTGTAATCTGATCAATTATGGTCATTATGTCTGCTTCGCCTTGGACATAGCCTTTTAGTATTCCATACCAAAAGGTCTTCTGATGACTCATTCTTTTATCTATTATTTGCAGCAACTTTGGTGCTATGAGCTGAATTAAACAGGACTTCCATTAATATAAATTGCACAAATATCATTTTATGATATGTTGATTAGTTTAATCAAAATAGTTAATAATAAGAAATTAAGTGCCCTCAAAGGTAACTACAATAACCTGTCAAGGTTCTTTGTTATTTTTTTAGTGGTATCTTTATAACTTCATGACTATAGCTATTTCCCTATAACTAATAATTTGGGGGTACCTATGTGAAATTTATGACTTTATTCTTTACTTATTTTCCTTATAGAGAATTGGATGCTATTTTCAACTGGTTTCAATTCTTGGAAAACAATGCAATTAATCTTCTGTGCTTAGGTCATAAAATGACTAAATTACTGCCATTTTTGCATGCTAAATCTCCTATAACACCTCCTACTTGATGGTCTGGTCAGGTGAGAAACCACCACAACCATACTGCCTGTTAGACCCCAAAATTAACTTCACTTCTCTCTGTTTCTTTGCTGAGGGTTGAAGTCTCCAGGTTATCAGCTACCATTGTGCAGTCCCCTAGCTTCTGCAGAGTTCATTGATCCCTTTGTTTTTCTATCTATGTTCCACAACCTCCATACTCTACCCTGCAACTACCTGCCACTAATCTCCAAAGGGTTTACACTCATCTTTCAAGATTCAGCTCAAGTATCACCTAATAAATGAAGTCTTTTCTCATTCTGTGCATACTCCTGTTTTGCACTTATCCTACCATATAACATTTCAATATCTAGATTACTCGTGATTTTTCTTCTACAATAAGCTTTCCAGGGGAAGAGACAATATCTAATTCATCTTCATATTCCAAGGACCTGTGATTTAACATAAGACCATAGTTCAGAGTTTTCTGAATATATCAACAAACTTTTCTAAGTTGTTTTATTAGTTTCTTCATCTGAACTATTTGTTAGGCTCTGTATACCTTCCTATCAGAATTAATTCATCAGTGGAATACACTAGACTCGCCTTCCTCAGGTAAATTGTACTCTAGCACTACTTATGATCCCTTAGAATACCGAAAAAGCAGACTACTGGTTCTGTACTCTTTGACCTAGTTGATTTATGCCTCTCAGTAGCAAAAATGTTTTAAATTATTCCTTGCATGTGTAAGAAAGATCTAAATGTAAAGATTCTATTAGTTTTATCTCCATACAAACTATGTTTTATTTAACTGTATCACTCACAGTGCTTATATATGCATGTATCTTGTTTGTGTATGAATAGTGAAAAAGATAGGAAAGAGAGAGTATATCTGCATTCATATATATACTTATTTGTGGAGGAGTGAGTTTCATGTCATTGAAATAATCACACAGAAAATAACCACCCATAATATTTGTTATAGAAACATGTTATTAGACAATCAAAGGTTATTTTTGAAACCATATTTCTATAATACTATATGTATTTTTTCCTTGATTTGTATAAATGTAGGATATTTTCTTTGTCCCTATAAATAGTTTGCATGGTTGTTTTGTTAACTTCCATCTTTTATTCCCCAAATATCTATAAAAATAAACATTACATGGAGGTTAACTTACACTTGCATTAATATAGAATTTCTCATGTGCTGTCTATTTAAAGGAAAAGTTGTGATGAGTATGTCTATACTTTCACATGCTAAACAAATTCCTAATATAATTGGGATGTTTGTAATATGAAATGTTATGAAACTTAATTTGCCAAAGGAAGCTAAAATTTAAAATATAAACATTAACCCAACAGAATATGTTAACCATAAAACTAGTAAACTAATTTTACTCTATGTTTTATGAAACAATCAGTAGGAATTAGAAATTGCACGATTTACTGGTTCTTTACCTTGAAAATGCGTAGTATACGAAAAAATTGAACAACTTTTATAAAGACTATTACTTCAGTCTCATTAAAAATATACTTAATGGTGTCTATTTCAATAAGTATTACATGTAAGATGCCAATTAATGTAATTGCTAACTCGAATATGTTCCAGGCATGTGAAAAAAAGTCCTTCCTCATTGCTGCTATCTGTTGATTTAAAAGGAAATTACATTATCATGTTTGTTTCTGCTTTTACTACACCATTTTCCACAATAATTTAAACATCATGTTAGGCTTTTCTCTTATCTACTCCACATGTATGAAATATCCTCAGGAAACCAAAATCAAACAAACAAGTTCATCAAATTTATCTTGTAATAAAGGAATACTCCTAGAACTATTAATTTAGGATTGGGTTTAAAGGACAGGTATAATGAAAACAAACAAATGTATATAATGACACCAGTAAAAAGTAGCGACAATGAAAAGGCAAATTCAGACAAAAATGTAGTACGCCAGGGTGTTTTAATTTAAAACAAGTTGCCCTAAATGCCATAAAAATCCTGGGGGTTGCATCCATTTTTTATTATTTTATAATTTATATCCAAAATGATGATTCTGAGTAGTCAAAACAAAATTAGTTTATGTTTGTTGTGACACATGTGGGCAAAGTTTTTATTAAAGTAGTTCAAGATTTAAAAATATATTTATTAAAAGATTATGCTTTCTTCACTAAATTCACTTGTGTAATTTCATTCTGGGATAACGCAGAATAAGTTATTTTTAATTTCTCAAAAAAATTCGATGCCCTCTCTCACCATTCCTATTCAACATAGTGTTGGAAGTTCTGGCCAGGGCAATCAGGCAGGAGAAGGAAATAAAGGGTATTCAGTTAGGAAAAAAGGAAGTCAATTTGTCCCTGTTTGCAGATGACATGATTGTATATCTAGAAAACCCCATCGTCTCAGCCCAAAATCTCCTTAAGCTCATAAGCAACTTCAGCAAAGTCTCAGGATACAAAATCAATGTACAAAAATCACAAGCATTCTTACACACCAATAACAGTCAAACAGAGAGCCAAATCATGAGTGAACTCCCATTCACAATTGCTTCAAAGACAATAAAATACCTGGGAATCCAACTTACAAGGGACGTGAAGGACCTCTTCAAGGAGAACTACAAACCACTGCTCAACGAAATAAAAGAGGATACAAACAAATGGAAGAACATTCCATGCTCATGGGTAGGAAGAATCAATATCGTGAAAATGGCCATACTGCCCAAGGTAATTTATAGATTCAATGCCATCCCCATCAAGCTACCAACAACTTTCTTCACAGAATTGGAAAAAACTACTTTAAAGTTCATATGGAACCAAAAAAGAGCCCACATCGCCAAGTCAATCCTAAGCCAAAAGAACAAAGCTGGAAACAGCATGGTACTGGTACCAAAACAGAGATATGGATCAATGGAACAGAACAGAGACCTCAGAAATAATGCTGCATATCTACAACTATCTGATCTTTGACAAACCTGAGAAAAACAAGCAATGGGGAAAGGATTCCCTATTTAATAAATGGTGCTGGGAAAACTGGCTAGCCAAATGTAGAAAGCTGAAACTGGATCCCTTCTTTACACCTTATACAAAAATCAATTCAAGATGGATTAAAGACTTAAACATTAGACCTAAAACCATAAAACCCTAGAAGAAAACCTAGGCATTACCATTCAGGACATAGGCATGGGCAAGGACTTCATGTCTAAAACACCAAAAGCAATGGCAACAAAAGCCAAAATTGACAAATGGGATCTAATTAAACTAAAGAGCTTCTGCACAGCAAAAGAAACTACCATCAGAGTGAACAGGCAACCTACAAAATGGGAGAAAATTTTAGCAACCTACTCATCTGACAAAGGGCTAATATCCAGAATCTACAATGAACTCAAACAAATTTACAAGAAAAAAACAACCCCATCAAAAAGTGGGCAAAGGACATGAACAGACACTTCTCAAAAGAAGACATTTATGCAGCCAATAGATGCATGAAAAAATGCTCATCATCACTGGTCATCAGAGAAATGCAAATCAAAACCACAGTGAGATAACATCTCACACCAGTTAGAATGGCCATCATTAAAAAGGAAACAACAGGTGCTGGAGAGGATGTGGAGACATAGGAACAGTTTTACACTGTTGGTGGGAGTAGAAACTAGTTCAACCATTGTGGAAGAGTGTGGCAATTCCTCAAGGATCTAGAACTAGAAATACCATTTGACCCAGCCATCCCATTACTGGGTAGATACCTAAAGGATTATAAATCATGTTACTATAAAGACACATGCACACATATGTCTATTGCGGCACCATTCACAATAGCAAAGACTTGGAACCAACCCAAATGTCCATCAATGATAGACTGGATTAAGAAAATGTGGCCCATATACACCATGGAATACTACGCAGCCATAAAAAAGGATGGGTTCATGTCCTTTGTAGGGACATGGATGAAGCTGGAAACCATCATTCTGAGCAAACTATCACAAGGACAGAAAACCAAACACCACATATTCTCACTCGTAGGTGGGATGTGAACAATCAGAACACCTGGACACAGGGCAAGGAACATCACACACCGGATCCTGTCGTGGGGTCGGGGGCTGGGGGGAGGGATAAGCAGTAGGAGAAATAACTAATGTAAATGACGAGTTAATGGGTGCAGCAAACCAACATGGCACATGTTTACATATGTAATAAACCTGCACGTTGTGCACATGTACCCTAGAACTTAAAGTATAATAATAATAATAATTTGAATTTAGACATGTTAAAGTATATATTTATACTAGTAAATGATCATACTAATTTGAAATCAAATAGCTAAAATACTGAAGCATCTATTCGAAGGGAGAAAATAGTCAAAATTCCTACTATTTTGTGATAGTTGATACAGTCAGTCTTTCTGCATATTTCAAAAAAAGGTTTCTTGAAACCTAGTATAGCTAAGAAAGTGGGAGATTTCAAAGATGATTGTAGATTTCAGCTTGGGAAATTGGGTTTCCATTGAAATTCTGAAGGGATAGTAGGATAAGAGAAGACAAATTTCTTTTCAATATGCTGCTTGTAATGTTTGCACAGTACTTTGTCAGAGGGATATAGTCAGCAGCTACCTATATGATCTACGGCTCTGGATAAAATCTGAGCTATAGACATGAATTTGGGAGTCATTAGACTATGAATGACAGTTGATGTCACAAAAGTAGATGAGACAGCATGGCCTGCCCTTTATTATTTAATTCACATCTATGTCTCTTCCCTCATTTTCCACATCCTGAAAACATATTTAACATCTCTCCAATCTCCACTCTGACCAATTCATTCCTGAGCTTCAGTCATTGGAAGTAGTGTTCCTTAATGTGTCATGGTGTTGTTTCTATGTTTTCCCTTGTTCTTGTTGTTTATTATGCAATGTACTTGTAGTTATTCTCTTTTTTGTCTCCTAGACATTATTAAAAATTCAACTCAAGTATTGCTTTCCCTTGAATACCTTCCTTCTCCGACCCTACTATTCTGCATAAGAAGCTCCTTCTGTCTGTTCCCATTGTACTCTGTGTATTCCTCTATCATACTAGAGAGATATAAAAATATCTATCCAGTATAAAAATAATAAAATGAACCTTCAAGTACTCACCACCCTGCTAAGACTGAGAATATTGCCAATACCTTTTAAACTCACTTTGTGTCCCTTTGACACACACCATTTTAAAATTCATTTCTGGAAATACAAAATCAGTGCTTCAAGTATGCATATTATCTATTGAGTTACTATAAAAATCACCTTCAAAAATTAAAGTTTGGAGACGTGAGGAAGAAATTCATACACTCCTTCAGAAAATTGTCTGTTGCTGGTGTTGAAAAACAAGGCTAGGAAATCTCCCTGTCAGACATATAACACTTCCATACACACATAAATTTTAGATTACCTTAAGTAGTGCCTCTAGAATATAAAGTGTAAGAAAACAGTAGTTAGTGTGTTTTAATTCGCTGTGGTAGATTACATTTAACTGGGATATCCAAGAGATTATAAAGGGAAATATATTCATTAATATCACAAGGTATCCAACATGTTCAAATTCCTCAGTAAATACTATTGTATGGCATATACGAAAAAAGAAGTATCTGTAAAACAAAAAGACAGTTTTATCTGATAAAAGGTTTACATTAAATGATTTTCATATATACTCATTTCTGTTCTACTTATCAACAGCTGCAGAGCCTTCTTTAATAATTCTGAAAGCAGCCACCACTAGCTAACACGTTCTGGCATCCCACTTCAGATACTGTCCTTTTAATTTCTTCCACTGATCCTCCTCTGTCTTGAGTCTAGTTTCTCCTTTTTCTTTCTCTCCCTCCTTAAATCTCATTCACTTTTTCTTTTTACTTTTAATGGAAATATTTTTGGTATAACACAGGAGAAATTCAAACTGGAATTTTTTTTAAATAAAGAGAATACTTTCTAGCTTTTGATAATTCCTATTTTCAGAGATGAATACTATTAGTTTGAATATTGTTCCAACTTTTTATGTTTATAAAATGATTATCCATAAACATAAAAGAAGTTATATGACACATTTTTCTGTAAGCTGCATTTTTCCCTTTTAACAACGTATCATGAGCATCTTCTCTTGTCAAGGTATAAAATTGGGATCAAAGCCTAGGATGCATGGTGGTGGAATATATGGATCCAAATTTTATCACAAAATTTAAATTAATGTATATGCTTTGAAAAATAGCTTCCATATTCAATATGATGGAGAGTAGAAATGTAGATAAAAAGATTTACTTTAATATTTTAATTATTCAAGTAGTATAGTAATACACTATTGTTGTTAAAATTCACATGATAATGATTAATTAATTGCCGATTGAAGACTGGGTAAGTACCAGATCATTTTCTCATTCTCAAAGGTACATCTATGCCATAGCCCAGAAGCTTTTACAATTTTGGATACCATTTGAAAAAAAAATATGATGAAATTATGAGTGCAGTAATATATAGTCTGTGCTCACATTGCCAGGGCCCTCCAAGGCCTCTGGCAGTTACTCTGTGATGGGAGCTGCAGAGTTTAAGCCTTGTTAACTTTGTGATAACCTCTCTGTCCTCTCTCCAGTCTGCTTTTCTTGATCTCTTCCAGCAGCAAAACCATGTTTGGCAAAGCATGGCACTGGAGGTTACCTTTGCTTAAATTTATGGTTAAATTTGCAGTCACTGATCTCATTCATTTTGTCACTAGCTATATTTCTTTCCCTTGAATCTAAGAAAAAAAAGAAATTCCAATTGAAAAGGAAGAAGTAAAATGGTCTCTATTTGTGGATGACATAATCCTATATATTGAAAATCCTAGAGAATGTGCAAAAATCAACTAGAGCTAATAAACAAAATAGCAAAGTTTCAGGAAACAAAATCGATATATAAAAATCAGTTGTATTTCTATACACTAGAAAGTACTGATCTGAAAATGAAATTATGAAAACAATTATATTTAAAATAGCACCAAAAACAACAAAATAGTTAGGATTAATGTTAACCTAAAACTTGCGTGCTCAAAACAACAAAACATTACCAAAATAAGTTAAAGATTTAAATAAAAGGTAAGACATTCCATGTTCATGGTTTGGAAGGCTTAATATTGATAATATGACAATGCTACCCAAAGCAATCTACAGATTAAATTAAATCCTATAAAAATCTTGACCTTTTTCTCTATTTTGCAGAAACAGGCAAGATAATCTAAAATTTATATGGAATTCTAAGGGACCTCAACTAGTTACAACAATCTTGAAAAAGAAAGTTGAAGGACTTATACTTCCTGATATCAAAATTGTATACCAAGTGTGGAAAACAATTTGGTGGTTACTCAAGAAACTAAATATAGAATTACCACACAGTCCTGCAATTTTGCCCCTGGGATATGCCCTTGAGTAGAAAGCAGGTATTCAAATAAAAACTTGCACATGAATGTTCATGGCAGCACTATTCATAATAGCCAAAAGGCAGAAACAACTCAAATGTCCATAAACTGATGAATGGGTAAATAAAATGTGGTATATATACCATGGAACGTTATTTAACCTTAAATAGGAATCACATATTGATACATGCTACAAAGAGGATGACCCTTATGCTACTAACACATTCTATTATGTGGATGAAAACATTAGGCTAAGTCAAAGAAGCGAGAAACACAAGGCTACATAGTGATGATTTCATTTATGTGAAACATTTGAAATAAGTAAATTCACAGGGACAGAAAACAGACTGGTGCTTTCCAGGAGCAGGGCAAAAAGGCAAAATGGGGAATGACTGCTTAATGAATACCCAGTTTATTTTTGGACTAATAAATAACACTAAATTATACACTTTAAAATGGTTAATGGTTAACTTATGTATATGAAATTTACCTCAATTAAAAAGAGAATACTATTCCTATCCTTTTTATTCTTTAAGTAACTTTATGTATGTACATAAGAAATTTAGGGTGGTGGCTGACCCCCACATTTCTAATAAACATTCTGTAGCTATTTATGCCCTGTGACACTCATCAGTCTCCTCTGAGGTGGCTACCACCCACTTCAAAGCTTTAAATCAATTGTAAAGACAGGAAAAAAACCCTTTATTTTTTTTAAAAATAAAAAATTAAAAGGATGCAGCTAAGGTTTATAGTGGATGTTGGCCAGATCATTTTTCTTTTATATTATGCCATAATCTCCTTTGATTTTTATAAAAACTCTAACAATATATGGTGGTACCAAAATTTGTGGTGAGTTTGAAGGCTGATTTAGTAACAGGTATAAAAAATGAATTTGTTAATACAGATTATTTTTGTTTTCTTACTTTAGGTATGTTTGTGAGCATTTTCTATGACTGTAAATAAGGCCATTTTTCAGATAATAAAATATGCAAAAATTTTTAAAAAGAAATTTCATTGTAAAATTCCTCAAAATATTTTGCAAAATATTCAGGATAGGGGGCAGTTCCAAGATAGCCGAATAGGAACAGCTCCAGTCTACAGCTCCCAACATGAGTGACACAGAAGACAGGTGATTTCTGCATTTCCAGCTGAGGTACCGGGTTCATCTCACTGGGGCTTGTTGGACAGTGGGTGCAGGACAGTGGGTGCAGTGCACCGAGCATGACCGAAGCAGGGCAAGGCATCGCCTCATCTGGGAAGTGCAAGGGGTCGGGGGATTCCCTTTCCTAGCCAAGTGAAGCTGTGACAGATGAAATCTGGAAAATCGGGTCACTCCCACCCTAATACTGCACTTTTCCAATGGTCTTAGCAAACGGCACACCAGGAGATTATATCCCGCACCTGGCTCGGAGGGTCCCACGCCCACGGAGCCTCACTCATTGCTAGCACAGCAGTCTGAGATCGAACTGCAAGGCAGCAGCAAGGCTGGGGGAGGGGCGCCCACCATTGCTGAGGCTTGAGTAGGTAAATAAAGTGGCCGGGAGGCTCAAGCTGGGTGGAGCCCACTGCAGCTCAAGGAGGCCTGCCTTCCTCTGTAGACTCCACCTCTGGGGGCAGGGCATAGCCGAACAAAAGGCAGCAGAAACCTCTGCAGACTTAAATGTCCCTGCCTGACAGCTTTGAAGAGAGTAGTGGTTCTCCCAGCACGGAGTCTGAGATCTGAGAACGGACAGACTGCCTCCTCAAGTGGATCTCTGACCCCCGAGTAGCCTAATTGGGAGGCACCCCCCAGTAAGGGCAGACTGACACCTCACAAGGCCGAGTAACCCTCTGAGATGAAACATCCGGAGGAATGATCAGGCAGCAACATTTGCTGTTCAGCAATATTCGCTGTTCTGCAGCCTCTGCTGCTGATACCCAGGCAAACAGGGTCTGGAGTGGACCTCCAGCAAACTCCAACAGACCTGCAGCTGAGGGTCCTGACTGTTAGAAGGAAAAGTAACAAACACAAAGGACATCCACACCAAAACCCCATCTGTACGTCACCATCATCAAAGACCAAAAGTAGATAAAACCACAAAGATGGGGAAAAAACAGAGCAGAAAAGCTGAAAATTCCAAAAATCAGAGCACCTCTCCCCCTCCAAAAGAACATAGCTCCTCACCAGCAACAGAACAAAGCCGGATGGAGAATGACTTTGATGAGTTGAGAGAAGAAGGTTTCAGATGATCAAACTTCTCCGAGCTAAAGGAGGAAGTTCGAACCCATGGCAAAGAAGCTATAAACCTTGAAAAAAGATTAGACAAATGGCTAACTAGAATAACCAGTGTAGAGAAGTCCTTAAAGGACCTGATGGAGGTGAAAACCATGGCACAAGAACTACATGATGAATGCACAAGCTTCAGTAGCCAATTAGATCAACTGGAAGAAAGGGTATCAGTGATTGAAGATCAAATAAATGAAATGAAGCAAGAAGAGAAGTTTAGAGAAAAAAGAGTAAAAAGAAATGAATAAAGCCTCCAAGAAATATGGGACTATGTGAAAAGACCAAATCTACATCCGATTGGTATACCTGAAAGTGACAGGGAGAATGGAATCAAGTTGGAAAACACTCTGCAGGATATTATCCAGGAGAGATTCCCCAACCTAGCAAGGCAGGCCAACATTCAAATTCAGGAAATACAGAGAATGCCACAAAGATACTCCTCAAGAAGAACAACCCCAAGACACATAATTGTCAGATCCACCAAAGTTGAAATGAAGGAAAAAATGTAAAAGGCAACCAGAGAGAAAGGTCAGGTTACCCACAAAGGGAAGCCCATCAGAATAATAGCAGATCTCTCAGCAGAAACTCTACAAGGCAGAAGACAATGGGGGCCAATATTCAACATTCTTAAAGAAAAGAATTTTCAACCCAGGATTTCATGTCCAGCCAAACTAAGCTTCATAAGTGAAGGAGAAATAAAATCCTTTACAGAAAAGCAAATGCTGAGAGACTTTGTCACCACCAGGCCTGCCCTACAAGAGCTCCTGAAGGAAGTACTAAACATGGAAAGGAACAACTGGTAGCAGCCACAGCAAAAACAAGCCAAATTGTAAAGACCATCTATGCTAGGAAGAAACTGCATCAACTAATGGGCAAAATAACCAGCTAACATCATAATGACAGGATCAAATCCACACATAACAATATTAACCTTAAATATAAATGGGCTAAATGCTCCAATTAAAAGACACAGACGGGCAAGTTGGATAAAGAGTCAAGACCCATCAGTGTTCTGTATTCAGGGGACCCATCTCATGTACAGAGACACACATAGGCTCAAAATAAAGGGATGGAGGAAGATCTACCAAGCAGATGGAAAGCAAAAAACAGCAGAGGTTGCAATCCTAGTCTCTGATAAAACAGACTTTAAACCAACGAAGATCAAAAGAGACAAAGAAGGCCATTACATAATGGTAAAGGGATCAATTCAACAAGAAGAGCTAGCTATCCTAAATATATATGCACCCAATACAGGAGCACCCAGATTCATAAAGCAAGTTCTTAGAGACCTAGAAAGAGACTTAAGACTCCCACACAATAATAATGGGAGACTTTAACACCCCACTGTCAACATTGGACAGAACAACGAGACAGAAAGTTAACAAGGATATCCAGGAATTGAACTCAGCTCTGCACCAAGCACACCTAATAGACATCTACAGAACTCTCCACCCCAAATCAACAGAATATACATTCTTATTAGCACCACATCACACTTATTCCAAAATTGACCACATAGTTGGAAGTAAAGCACTCCTCAGCAAATGTAAAAGAACAGAAATTATAACAAACTGTCTCTCAGACCACAGTGCAATCAAATTAGAACTCAGGATTAAGAAACTCACTCAAAATCGCTCAACTACATGGAAACCGAACAACCAGCTGCTGAGTGACTACTGGGTACATGACAAAATGAAGGCAGAAATAAAGATGTTCTTTGAAACCAATAAGAACAAAGACACAGCATACCAGAATCTCTGGGACACATTTAAAGCAGTGTGTAGAGGGAAATTTGTAGCACTAAATGCCCACAAAAGAAAGCAGGAAAAATCTATAATTGACACCCTAACATCACAATTAAAAGAACTAGAGAAGCAAGAGCAAACACATTCAAAAGCTAGCAGAAGGCAAGAAATAACTAAGATCAGAGCAGAACTGAAGGAGATAGAGACACGAAAAACCGTTCAAAAAATCAATGAATCCAGGAGCTGGTTTTTTTGAAAAGATCAACAAAATTGATAGACCACTAGCAAGACTAATAAAGAGGAAAAGACAAAAGAATCAAATAGATGCAATAAAAAATGATAAAGGGGATATCACCACCAATCCCCTAGAAATACAAACTACCCTCAGAGAATACTATAAACACCTCTACACAAATAAACTAGAAAATCTACAAGAAATGGATAAATTCCTGGACAATACACCCTCCCAAGACTAAACCAGGAAGAATTTGAATCTCTGAATAGACCAATAACAGGCTCTGAAATTGAGGAAACAATTAATAGCTTACCAACCAAAAGAAGTCCAGGACCAGATGGATTCACAGCCGAATTCTACCAGAGGTACAAGGAGGAGCTGCTACCATTCCTTCGGAGACTATTTCAATCAATAGAAAAAGAGGGAATCCTCCCTAACTCATTTTATGAGGCCAGCATCATCCAGATATCAAAGCCTGGCAGAGACACAACAAAAAAAGAGAATTTTAGACCAATATTCCTGATGAACATCGATGCAAAAATCCTCAATAAAATACTGGCAAACCGAATCCAGCAGCACATCAAAAAGCTTATCTACTATGATCAAGTGGGCTTCATCCCTGGGATGCAAGTCTGGTTCAACATACACAAATCAATAAATGTAATCCAGCATATAAAACGAACCAAAGGCAAAAATCACATGATTATCTCAATAGATGCAGAAAAGGCCTTCAACAAAATTCAAAGCCCTTCATGCTAAAAACTCTTAATAAATTAGGTATTGATGGGACGTATCTCAAAATAATAAGAGTTATTTATGACAAACCCACAGCCAATATCATACTGAATGGGCAAAAACTGAAAGCATTCCCTTTGAAAACTGGCACAAGACAGGGATGCCCTCTCTCACCATTCCTATTCAACATAGTGTTGGAAGTTCTGGCCAGGGCAATCAGGCAGGAGAAGGAAATAAAGGGTAGTCAATTAGGAAAAGAGGAAGTCAAATTGTCCCTGTTTGCAGATGACATGATTGTATATTTAGAAAACCCCATCGTCTCAGCCCAAAATCTCCTTAAGCTCATAAGCAACTTCAGCAAAGTCCCAGGATAAAAAATCAATGTACAAAAATCACAAGCATTCTTATACACCAATAACAGACAAACAGCCAAATCATGAGTGAACTCCCATTCACAATTGCTTCAAAGAGAATGAAATACCTAGGAATCCAACTTACAAGGGATGTGAAGGACCTCTTCAAGAAGAACTACAAACCACTGCTCAACAAAATAAATGAGGATACAAACAAATGGAAGAACATTCCATGCTCTGGGGTAGGAAGAATCAATATTGTTAAAATGGTCATACTGCCCAAGGTAATTTATAGATTCAATACTATCCCCAACAAGCTACCAATGACTTTCTTCACAGAATTGGAAAAAACTACTTTAAACTTCATATGGAACCAAAAAAGAGCCCACATTGCTAAGTCAATCATAAGCCAAAAGGACAAAGCTGGAGGCATCACGCTACCTGACTTCAAACTATACTACAAGGCTGTGGTAACCAAAACAGCATGGTACTGGTACCAAAACAGAGATATAGACGAATGGAACAGAACAGAGCCCTCAGAAATAATACCACACATCTACAACCATCTGATCTTTGACAAACCTGAGAAAAACAAGAAATGGGGAAAGGATTCCCTATTTAATAAATGGTGCTGGGAAAACTGGCTAGCCATATGTAGAAAGCTGAAATGGGATCCCTTCCTTACACCTTATACAAAAATCAATTCAAGATGGATTAAAGACTTAAATGTTAGACCTAAAACCATAAAAACCCTAGAAGAAAACCTAGGCAATACCATTCAGAACATAGGCATGGGCAAGGACTTCAGGACTAAAACACCAAAAGCAATGGCAACAAAAGCCAAAATTGACAAATGGGATCTAATTAAACTAAAGAGCTTCTGCACAGCAAAAGAAACTACCATCAGAGTGAACAGGCAACCTACAGAATGGGAGAAAATTTTTGCAATATACCCATCTGACAAAGGGCTAATATCCAGAATCTATAAAGAACTCAAACAAATTTACAAGAAAAAAACAAACAACCCCATCAAAAAGTGGGCAAATGATATGAACAGACACTTCTCAAAAGAAGACATTTATGCAGCCAAAAGACACATGAAAAAATGCTCATCATCACTCGCCATCAGAGAAATGCAAATCAAAATCACAATGAGATACCATCTCACACCAGTTAGAATGGCAATCATTAAAGTCAGGAAACAACAGGTGCTGGAGAGGATGTGGAGAAATAGGAACACATTTACACTGTTTGTGGGGCTGTAACCGAGTTCAACCATTGTGGAAGACAGTGTGGCGATTCCTCAAGGATCTAGAACTAGAAATACCATTTGACCCAGCCATCCCATTACTGGGTATATACCCAAAGGATTATAAATCATGCTGCTATAAAGACACATGCACACATATGTTTATTGTGGCACTATTCACAATAGCAAAGACTTGGAACCAACCCAAATGTCCATCAATGATAGACTGGATTAAGAAAATATGTCACATATACACCGTGGAATACTATGCAGCCATAAAAAGGGATGAGTTCATGTCCTTTGTAGGGACATGGATGAAGCTGGAAACCATCATTCTCAGCAAACTATTGCAAGGACGAAAAACCAAACACCACATGTTCTCACTCATAGGTGGGAACTGAACAATGAGAACACTTGGACACATGGTGGGGAACATCACACACTGGGGCCTGTTGTGGGGTGAGGGGAGGGGGGAAGGATAGCATTAGGAGATATACCTAATGTAAATGACGAGTTAATGAATGAAGCACACCAACGTGTCACATGTATGCATATGTAACCTGCACGTTGTGCACATGTACCCTAGCACTTATAGTATAATAACAAAAAATTCAAGATACCATTTTAAAAGAAAAAACAGGGAATTTCAAGTGAATATAATAGCATTTCTTATAAGGTTCAAAAGCACTTACTTTGATGGGCCCTCTTTTTCCTTTCTGGTATTATACACCCAATTAAGTAGTAGTTTTCTAGCAAAGGTAACTGTTTTTTGGCTTTCAGAATAATTCTTTATTGTATCAAGACTCATACATCTAGAAAAAGAGAGAAATCTTTAAACATGCTTTAAACATTTTGAGATAAGTTTAATGTTGTACTGGAAGTTTAATGTTGTACATAAGTTTAATTTTGCACAAAACAGGAAGACTATTTTGTGCCATGATGGTTGGATTAAGACATTTTCATGGGCGTGGTTCATGAAGTTAGATTGTCAGGCTCACTTGTTAAACAGAGAGTATTAAAAATTGGAGATACATGGTTGAAAATAATAGAGATTTCAAGGTTCAGGGATAGAAAACATACTATGTTTCAAATATTTGGGATTCAGACATCTGGGTTTTCATGTTAGATTCCCCATTGTCTGGTATGGCAATGGACAAATTACCTCATTAACTTGCTTGCTAATCTACAAAATAAGGATAAAAATACCAATGTTAGGCTGGGATAATTAAATGGGAAAGCATGTATAAAGCATCCAACTCATATCACACATCTTCCCATCTCTTTGTCTTCACCTTCAAAGCAGATAGTAAGGTTTAGAATGACTAAAAATGAGTTAAAATAGTAACTTAGAAAAGTCACTGGTCATAAGAGCTCAATGTCATTTTGGTAGCACTTGTCCCAAGTTTTCTGTAGCTTTCTGCTAGGTTTTTTTTTTTTTTTTTAATTGAGACAGCTCAGATCCGTGTATATGATCATGTCTTGTTTAGCCAATCTCCTTGGCTTTTCAAGGAATTTACCTGCTGCTGACCAGATACTTTCATCGTCATGATCAGAAGGAGAGTAAGGCTCTGCCCTTGGATGTGAGGCCCTACCTTATAATGTGGCTTAATGGAAGGGCATTGGAAACCCAAGTTCAAAGGTAAACCTTGCCCTTTCTATGAATTATAATGTTCTTACTTTAAAACTTGTATATATATTTTTTTTTTTACTACAGGGATACTAACGTAATTGAAAAGAATGAAGTCATTCAATTATCTGATATTCAATATAATATGCGGTAAATAAATGGAAAATGTTGAATATGTATATGACTTGATTCATTTATAATTGAAAAAATATTTATTCAACATCTGCTATTGTTGTTAAATGCCAAAGATAAACCATAAAGAAATACTGGTCTGCCCTCAAGGCTGCAGCAGACTAGTGGGATGAAACATATAAATACCAATTGCAGTAAAACGTGGTAAGTGTTGCCACAGAGATAATAAATGAGAGGGCTCCCTGGACTCAAAAAAATAAGCATTTAATATAGTCTTATTGTGATATCTATGTGTGACACTTTGCAGCACAAATTACTGAGTAATTCAGGCTCTTGAACTCCTATTTTACATCAACATGTTCACTGTTTAGACCTGATTTAGGGAAACAGTATGATCTATTTAACCGGATAGTGAGGCAGCTTGGCTTTGAATCCCAACTCTGTAATTTATGAGTCAAATGACCTTGCATAAATTATTTAATTTCTCTTTGTTTTATTTTCCTAACCTGCATCGTGAATATAACAACAGCATCTAATAAGATTCTTCTGAGGTAAAATAGGTTAATACATGTAAAGTGTTTAAAACTGTACCTGGTATGACACTCAATAAAAAGAAACTATGTGCTCAAAGTATTATTTTTTAGGCAATTATACAAGCACTTAGCATAGGTCCTGGTGCTCCTGTTTAAACCCTCCACTCTTTCTTTTCTTAGACTTGTTTTTCTTGCCACAGGTCACCCTGACACATGAGGCACTCATAGGAATAATTAGCAAATGGTAAAATCAGCTCAGCAAAGAAGCAAGAACTGAATATAAGCACATCAATAGAAAGTTCTCCAGGGGCTGGAATACCATTTTGCTAATATTAATATTCCCTACAGTGACTGGCATATATTGGTAATATATAGCTTTGCACATATTGGTTTTCAATGTATATCTCTTACATGCATGCATAAAAAATGTAATATATTCCAAAGTTTGCCTTCATAGGCATATGTTGCTTCTGCCTTTGGGGAACATTTAAAGAGAAAAAAATCAAGGCAGTGGGCTGAATTGCTCTATGTTGTTTTATTTTTATTTTTATTTTTGAGACAGAGCCTTGCTCTGTCCCCCAGGCTGGAGTGCAGTGGCACAATCTCAGCTCACTGCAACCTCTGCCTTCGGGGTTCAAGCAATTCTCCTATCTCAGCCTCCTGAGTAGCTGGGACTACAGGTGCATGCCAGCGTGCCTGGCTAATTTTTTTGTATTTTTAGTAGAGACAGGGTTTCACCATATTGGTCAGGCTGGTCTCGAACTCCTGACCTCAAGTGATCCACCCACCTCGGCCTCCTAAAGTGCTGGGATTACAAGCATGAGCCACTATGCCCGGCCTGCTATTTTTAACATCTCCTGGAAAATATATTAATGATGCTTTTTATTGTGTCATTTATTAAAAACTTCCACTGTACAATGTGCACCTTTCTTCTTTAAAATATGCACGGTATTGTTTTGAATTGATCACATTTGCCCAGCCCTCTCAACTCCCTCAACTTTACTAGGTCACCTAAAGCATTGGAAGTGCCTGGATCAAAAGGACAAACAGAGACCCTGGTACCATAGATGAAAATATTCAAGCATTATAAATCAAGGAAACAAAATTTTAAATAAGATATATTTCATCTTCCTATCATGACACATATAATGTCATAATGATTTGTATGACTAGGCTTAAAATGAAAACTCTTAGTTACTTTGAAAGTCTGTACTTGAAATGAAATGCAAATATGCCCTAATTTCTGGCTGCTTCTTTTCTAACATCTAACTTTATCCTTCAGTGTACCACAAGGTTGTACATGTGACTTAACACAAGGTTGGCACATCCTTCAGGTTTAGGGGTATGCACACCAAAGGCCGGGTTTGCTCATGAGATGATGGACCAGGACTAGAGGCCCAAATAGACTCTGGAAATAAGCTTAGGACAATTTAAGCAGGGAATTTTGGTGTCTTCAGGACTGTTGTCTAGAGCTAGAAGGTATGTCTGGGTGGACACTGTTGCAGTTGCACTGCAGTTTAACCCCCCTCTTTGCCCAATCATAGATCCAGCATTCCTCCACAGGGGATGATCTGAGGGTACCCCTCAAAACACCAACTTTGAGGAAACCACTGCTTATTTTGGAGACCTATATCTAAAGAAATCACTACAAGATTACAAATGCATGCTGAGTATTAAGAGAAGATGTTGAAGTACTACCTGTGTATTGGGGAAGATGTGCCTGGAGGGATTAAGGAAGGCTTCACCCTTACTTAGTCTGGCATTCAAATTGTCTAAAAGGAAGAGTTCTTTACCACAGCTTAACTTTTGGCAGGGGGGGACAAAGAACAAAAGAAAGTTTCAGTCAGAAGGAACAGCTTGTTCAAAATCACGGAGGTAAGAATGAATGCAGCAAATTTGGGAAACTGAAAATAGGTAGTTTGGCCTGAGGGTGGGGTATAGAGCAGACAGCTCTGCTGTAATACTATAGTATTAATATTAATAGTAGAGGGAGCCAAGTTACCAGACAAAAACAAGAAAACTCACTTGGGTAATTTCCTAAATGCTGTGGCTTAGAATAGAAGCCATCTCTTGAGAATATACTTACTTTCCCTTCTTCTCACCAAAACTTTCTGCTGCACCAACCAACACCTGGACAGCACTCTGGGACAGAATCTCATTCCTGTATTGTCTCTGGTAGCTTGCCTAAAAAAATATTAATTCAAGTCATTATATAGCATGAATAACGATGACAACTTATTACAATCTTGATGGGAAAAATGTGTGATAAAGAAGTAAAAACAATCAATCTAGTCTGTTTGTAAAAAGAATATTTCTATGGAGTTCAGATTATAAGATTACTGGATAAGGTAGGTCTTGGCTTTGAGTGGAGCCACACTGGTTCTGAAGGAAACTAGAGCTCTTCTAGACATGGAATTAGGTTTTCAAAAAATAAATGGAACTTATTGGCAAATGAGTTTGGGAACTACTGCAAGCTATATCCACATCTCAAAAGTTAATAATGAATATTAAAGGCTCTGAGAAAACCTACAGTAAAAAAAAATCCTACTATACATCTTTATTTAATTGAATTTTCTCAAATATTTCCACAACAGGGCTCTGCTGCCTCATCTGTGATAAGGATTAAAATGATTCTATCTTTGTAACTTATATAATTATTTATAGAATATTTTATAATTTATAAGGAGTATTATAATAACAGATTGCTACTATTTGGCAGAATGCAGTCACTTCTTCATTCAATACATATATATAAAGAGCCTACTGAGCTTCAGGGACTATGTCTGATGATATGGAAACCAGTATCTGACACTGTTCCTGGCATCCATATGCTGAACACTATTCAGAAACTATGTAGACCAACTTCCTTAACTGAAATATATTATGTGACCAAAGATTTCTAGGTTCTGCAGCAGGCATTCTCTCTGCATGATCAGTTTTGAATATTAAACACTGCTTCGTTTTGGGGAAATACTAGAAAGAAATAGCAATGACACTTGAGGATGTGGGATGAAAAAACTTTTCCCATAATTACAGGAATTCAATAGAGTACACTCTTCTCCTTAAATATCATTAAAATATGTTTAAAACAATATTAAATCAAAATATTCTTAGTATCCTCAAGATAAAAATTGTAGTTTGAAAAAATGAGGAAGCTGAAGATTATATGGATCTCGCGAAAGCTTAGCAACACAAATACCAAAGCAATTAGATACTAGAAGATGTTAACTGTTAAATTATCTTTCCCAATGGGAACGCAGAAACCAAATCAACAAATCAAGATGAGCATGAAAATATATCTAAAATTAAGAAGAACTTGGAAGATATTAAGTGAAATGAGGATCTAGAGAACAGAGCAGAGAAATCCAATCTACTTTGAAAAGCGAGATTTATTGATTAAGACACAATAGCACAAAATCAATGATCAAAATATAATAGTAGAACCCAAACATTTGAGGCAATAAATCAAAAAGGTACATGGAGTATACACTGCAGAAAACATAGAATATCACAAGCGAAAAAGAGGTTATTCAGTCACCATAAGTTTCCTCTTTTATAGATTGGGAGAATGGAAACTAAATAGATTAAGTCCTTAGTCACATATCATATTAGTAACAAAAACAAGACTCAAAATGAAGTTTCCTTCATTTATTTTGTGGGTTCTTGTACACCATATTTTCCTGAAATACATTAAAATTGGGAAGTGACTAAAAGACATGGCCTCATAACATTTTTAAGTTACAAGGAAATAGAAATAATTCTACAGGTATCCAAACAAGAAAGGGAGCTGTATTTAATTTCATAAATATTAATTTATTAATTGCATAAAAATCATTCCTTTGTCTTCATATAAATGTATCATTACTTGGATAAAACTCCTATTTTTAGGTCTGAAACATCTTTAAACATTTACTAATCAATTTTTTCCTACAAAAGTAGACAAGAGACACTAGCCAAACCATTGAAAAATACACTTCAAAGATATTCTCAACTGGGAATATTGTTGGAAATAATCAGTGAAAATTATAATATCAATATATTAAAGAATGAAATATGTAATAAAACATATCTATAAAAGGCTTCTTGTTTATAAGAATAATAAGCATAATCATTAAAACAAAACTTAAAGTGTGAAAGTGAAAACAGGGGAATAGGGCATGGTGGTGTCCCTCTGTAGCCCCAGCTACTCTGGGAGACTAAGGCAGGAGGACTCTTTGAGCTCAGGAATTTGAGACCAGTCTGAGCAACATAAAGAAATCTTGTCTCAAAAAATAGAAGAAGAGCACAAAGAGATTTCAGAACATTGAACTAAATTCATATTCCAGCCATGGGTACAAGGCCTAGTAAGCAATTTTTGCTTTTTAAAAAATTAACATAGAGGTAGATTGAGAAAAGGGAAATGCAAACGTGTCTACTCTAAAAGTACATCTATAGTTAACATTTTAGTTAGAAAGTTATAGAGTATTATTGACATTTATATCATTTGTAAGGTAAAATTAGATACTTTTTGAAGTTAGCTTATCAAACAAATAAACAAAGAATGATATATCTCAATACAAAAGAAACAAAGAAAGGAAAGCAGGCAGGCAAAGGAAAAGAAAAAGAAAGAAATTAAACAGCAAGAGAGGAGTGAAAGAAGATAAGAATTGAGATATCAAAATACAACAGCTATTAGATCCTATAATAAACCTCAAATACTCCAAAAAGGTTCAGATTAATTAATTGAGTGAATATTATTTGAGCACCTACTATGTACTACACATTGTGGTATTCACTGAAGACATACAGATAAATAAATCACAGTCTTTAGCCTAAAAAATATTACCTAGGTTTACTAGATTTGCCTACAAGAAAAATTAACTATACTAAAAAGCAAAATGTCAAGTGAAGCAGCAAAATGTCAAGTGAGCTGAGCTGCTGGCTAACCAGCCCCTTGCTTCCCCAGAGTGAAGACCAGCCTGGAACCCTGTCCTCAAAGTAGTAGCACCTGAGAAGAGATGCTGGCTGACCAGCCCTGCACTTCCCCCAAATCACAGATGATCCTGGTTCTCTACCCATGGTAGCATAGCCAGCTCCCTCATTCACAAGGGAGCAGACCCCACATAGGTAGACCAGCCACACAAACTTCTGCAGCCTAAGCAACTGAGGCACTCACAGGCATCAATGACATTGACTGTAGCTGAAGAAACTGTATTGAGGCTATGCTATTGTATCCACCCAGTAAAAAGCTAATGCACCCTACCCAACTGACACCCTGGGACATATCTGCAGGTGAGTCTTTCCCCATGAAAGCCACTATACAAAATTGAAAGAGGCAACTGTTTCACAAGATCTGAAGATATCAATGCAAGGATACAAAAAAAACATGAAAAAGCAATAAAATATCTCACTGTTAAAGGAACACAATAGTTCACCAGCAACTGGTCCCAAAGAAATGGAAATGTAGAAACTCCCTGAAAAGGAATTTACAATAATGATATTAAGGAAACTCAGCAGACACAATAAAATCGAAAAGCAATTCATTATGTGAATAAGAAACTCAACAAAAAGATAGATATTATAAAAAAATAACTGAACAGAAATATTGGAGCTAATTTAATGAATGAAAAAATACAATTGAGAGCTTTGATAACAAACTAGATCAAACAGAAAAAAAGAATCTCTAAACTTGAAGCCAGATATTTTCAAATAACCATGTCAGACAAAAGAGAAAGAAAAAAGAGAAAAAGAGAAAGATACATAGATAAGAAAGAAAGAAAAGAAAAAAGAGAGAAAGAGAGAAAGAAAGAAAGATAGATAGATAGAAAGAGCGAGCCAAAGAACCCAAGAGAGCTCATGGGACCCATGGGACATCATTACACAAACAAATGTTATCATTATGGGAATTTAAGAAGGAGAAGAGATGGGAAAAGGCATAGAAAACATATTTAATAAAGTAATAACAGAAAACTTCCAAGTTTTTGAAAAGATATAGACATCTAGATCCAGGAAGGTCAAATATCCCCCAAAAGATTCAACCTAAAAAATTCTTCTCTGAGGCACATTGTAGTCAAACTGTCAAAAGTCAAAGACAGAGAGAATTTTAAAAATAGAAAAAGTGTCAAGTCACATATAAAGGAATCTCCATTAGAATATCAGCATATTTCTCAGCAGAAACTTTATAGGCCAGAAAAGAATAAGATAATATGGTTGAAGTGATGAAAGACAAAAAAAACTTTCAACCAACAATACTATATCCAGAAAAGCTATCCTTCAGAAATCAAGTGTTTCCCTGACAAGTAAAACCTGAGAGAATTCACCATCACTAGACTGGACTCACAAGAAATGCTTAAAAGTCCAATATCTGGAAGCAAAAGGACAATAACTAAGATTGTAAAAACATATAAAACCCAATGGTAGAGCAGATACACAAATCTTAAAGAAAAAGGAATCAAACCTTATTATTACAGAAAAACACCAATCTTCAAAGATAAACAAACAAAAGGAAATACACACCAACCAAAAAAAAAAACACATGACACCTTTCAATAATATCCCTGAATGTAAACTAATTAAAATTTCCACTTAAAAGATACAGACTGGCTGAATTGATTAAAATATAAGACCCAACTACACACTGCCTATGCCTATTAAAAACTCACTTCACCTGTAAAGACGCCCACAGACTGAAAGTGAAGGGATGAAAAAAGATATTTCTGGCAAACAGAACCCAAAAATGATCAGGAGTAGTTATATAGCTATACTTATAACTGATAAAATAGACTTTAAGTAAAACACTGTAAGAGAAACAAAGAAGTTTACTATATAATGATAAAGGGATCAAATCAGCAAAAGGACATATAAATACCAAAAACCAGAGCACTCAGACACATAAGGCAAAAATTATTAGATCTGAAGGGAGAGAAAGACTCCAATACGATAATAGTTGGGTCTTTAAAACCCCAGTCATAGCATTGGAAGGACTATCTACACAGAAAATCAACAAAGAAACTTTGGATTTAAACTGCACTATAGACAGAACATTTCATTCAAGAACAGCAGAATACATGTTCTTCTCATCAGCACACAGATCATTCTCCAGGATAGAGCATATGGTAGGCCACAAAACAAGCCCCCCAAATTTTTAAAAAATTAAAATCATATCAAGTATCTTTTCTGACCACAATGGAGTAAAACTGGAAATCAGTAACAAGAAGAACATTGGAAACTGTACAACCACATGGAAATTAATCATGTTCCTCAACCACTGATAGATCAAGAAAAAAAATTAAGAAGGTAATTCTTTATTTTGAAACAAAAGTAGAAACACAACATATCAAAACCTATGGGATATAGCAAAAGCTGCACTAAGAGGGAAATTTATAGTAATAAACTTTTACATCAAAAAAATAGACAGAGGGCCAGGTGTGGTGGCTTATGCCTGTAATCCCAGCACTTTCGGAGGCTGAGGTGTGCAGATCACTTGAGGTCAGGAGTTTGAGACCAGCCTGGCCAACATGGTGAAACCCCATATCTACTAAAATTACAAAAATTAGCCAGGTGTGGTGGCAAGCACCTTTAATCACAGCTACTCAGGAGGCTGATGTAGGAGAATTGCTTGAATCCAGGAGGTAGAGTTTGCAGTGAGCCAAGATTGCACCACTGCAATCCAGCCTGGGCGATAGAGTAAGACTCCATCCCCCCCCATCCCCCCACACACAAAAGTTCAAAAAACAACTTAATTATGCACCTTAAGGAACTAAAAAAGTAAGAACAAACCAAACCCAAAATTAAGTCAAGGAAAGAAGTAATAAAAATCAGAACTAAAATAAGTGAAATTGACACCAAAAATAATATAAAAGATCAGAAAAACAAAATGTTGTTTTTTAAATAAGAAAAAATTAACAAACCATTAGACTAAGAAAATAAGGAGAGAAGATACAAATAAATTAAATCAGAAGTGAAAAACGAGACACAACAACTGAGACCACAGAAATTCAAGCTATCATTACAGACTATTATGAACAACTATACTCCAACAAATTGGAAAACCTGGGGGGAATGGATAAATTCCTGGACACATAAACCTACTGAGATTGAGCCAGGAAGACATAGGAAGTCCGAATAGACCAATGAAGACTTACAAGATTGCAGCAGTAATATAAAGTCTCCCAAGAAAAAAACATTTTTGAAAGGGAAGGAATTCTTCCAAACTCATTTTATGAGGCTAGCATTACCCTAATACCAACAGCAAACAACACAACAAAAAAAGAAAACTATAGGCTAATATCCCTCATGAACACAGATGCAAAAATCCTCAACAAAATACTAGCAAACAAAGTCTAACAGCACATCAAAAAGATTATACACTATGATCAAGTGGGATTTATCCCAGGAATGCAAGGATATTTAAATATACACAAATCAACACACGTAAGACATCACATTAACAGAAAGACCAAAGCCATTTGATCATCTGAATAGACGCAAAAAACATTTGATAAAATTCAGCATTGTTTCATGATAAAAACTCCCAATAAAGTAGATATACAAGGAATGTACCTAAATACAATAAAACCATATATGACAAATCCACAGCCAAAATCATACGGAATGAGGACAAGTTAAAATCTTATATTTAGGAAAGCTAAAGACTCCACAAAACAACTCCTAGAACTGTTAAACCAATTTAATGAAGTTGCAGGATACAATATTAACAAACAAACAAAATTAGTAGCATTTCTACAGACTAACAGCTAACTATGTGAAAAGAAATCAAAGCATAAATCCCATTTACAATAGCTACCAAAAATACATAAGAATACATTTAACCATGAAAATGAAAGACCTCTACAATGAAAACTATAAAAGACTAATGAAGGAATTGAAGAGAACACAAAAAATGGGAAGACATCCCATGTTCATATATTGGAAGAACAAATCTTGTTAAAATGACCATACTCCCTAAGAATCCTGTGGATTCAACGCAATCCCTAGCAAAATACCAGTGATAGAGAAAACATTCCTAAAATTTGTATGGAACCTCAAAAGACCTCAAGTAGCCAAAGCAATTTTGAGCACAAGGAACAAAGCTGGAGACATTATAATACCCTAGTTCAAAATACACTACAACCAACAAGCTATAGCAACCAACACAGTATAGTACTTGCATAAAAACAGGCACACAGACCAAGAGAACAGAATAGAAAACCCAGGAATATATTACCTATTTATAGCCAACTGATTTTCGACAAAGCCATGAGGAACGTACACTGGGGAAAGAACAGTCTCTTCAATAAATAGTGTTGGGATTAATAGTCATATGCAGATGAATGAAACTAAACCCTTGTCTCTCCTTTATATGAAAATAAACTCAAAATAGATTAAAGACTCACAACTATGAAACCACTAGAAGAAAACGGAGGAGAAACACTTCAAGTCATTGGACTGGGCAAGGATTTCATGGCTACAGTCTCAAAAGCACAGGAAACAAAAGGAAAAATAGACATATGAGATTATATCAAACTAAAATACTACTGCACAGCAAAGGAAGCAATCAATAGAATAATGAGGCAACCTGCAGAACAAAAAGAAATATTTGCAAACTATTCTTCTACTAAGGCATTAATATCCAGAATAGACAAAGAACTCAAACCACCCAACAGCAAAAAACAAACAAACAAATAGTATGATTTAAAAATGAGCAAAGGATCTGAATAGACATTTCTCAAAGACACAAACGGTCAACAAGCACATAAAAAAATTTAACATCACTAGTGAATAGGGAAATGAAAGTCAAAACCATAATGAGATATTATCTTTCCCTGGCTAGAATACAATGTTTATATATGGGGAATGTTTATTGCAGCACAATTCACAATAGCCAAGATAAACAATCAACTAAGTGTCCATCAATAGATGAATGGATACAGAAAATGTCGTATATTTACACAACAGAATACTATTGAGCCATAAAAATGAATAAAATGCTTTCATTTGTGGCAACATGGATAAGACTAGAAGACATTATGTTAAGTGAAAGAAGTCAGGCACAGAAAAAGAAATACTGCTTGTTCTCACTCATATATGGAAGCTATAAAAGTTGACCTCATAGAAGTAGAGTAGAATAGTGGCTCCAAGAGGCTGGGAAGGGTAGGGGGACAGGGGAGCTAGCAGGAATAGGTTGGTTAACAGATACAAAGTTGCAGTTAGATAGGAAGAATAAATTCTAGTGTTCTACAGCACTGCAGGGTGATTATAGTAAACACTAATCTATTGTATTTTTTCATATAGTTAGAAGACAAGATTTTGAACATTCTCAACCGAAAGAAACAATAAAGGTTTGAAGTGATCTATATGCTTATCACCCTTATTTGATCATGACACATGTATACTTGTATTAGAATATTACATTGTGCCTCATAAATATGTATAATTATATGTCAATTAAAACAACAGCAATAAAAATTACCCTCTTGACCCTAAATTTACCTTTCATATTAGAATAAAATATTAGTTTGAAAAGGTAAAATTTAATAACACAATGTACAAAAAGAGATTATCAAGCAAAAGGGTGTATAGATTTTTTTAAGGCTGAGAAAATTGTGTGCGTGTATGTGTGTGTGTATAAAGAATTAGTGGCAATAGGGGTGGGGAATAAGGTGGTGGTGGTGGCAGTGGCAGATTCTTTGATCATGAGTCCAGCTAGAAGGGATATTACAAAAATTGGTGAGCAAGTACATTACTTAGATAGAGAAACAAAACTATCCAGAAAAGTTGTGTGAGCAATGAGAAGGATCAAAATGTGCTGTTAGTTGATATTTCCACAATTTAGTGTTTAATATTCTGTTTTTATTTTCTAGCTCATTGAAAAATTTTTGATTTGGGGAATTTCTGCAGGAAAAGATAGAAATGCAATTTATATTTCCTAAATTATATAGCAGATTATATATACTTTTGGTTAGTCTACCTCATTTTTGACAGTTACAGACAAATGTTTGTAAAATACTCCTTTGTGCTTTCTAAGGAAGCAATTGTTGTGGCTTAAAGAAGCCATGGTTGGCTGTTCAGGTTCACCTATGGTTATCTCAGGACTAGCCCTACTTCATTGTTTCCAGATCCTCTTCTACTCTGAAATCCTGGTCTAGATGTTTCTCTATCCTGTTCCATTGTTTTATATTGACTGACAATTTTTTCCTCTCATTCCTGCTGACTCGGTATATTTAGAAAGCCTGCCTTTGTTTTTGCCTCAGAAGCTGTTCATAGGCAGTTCCCAGGGGAACCCAGGATGACTAGCTTGTCCATTTACATTACAGAACCATGGCCTTGGAGCATCAGATTTAGGAAACATGGAAGAGCTAGCAGGAATATTTGCTACCTCTGTGTTAACTTAGTCATTACTCTGTGGATAGCAATACCTAATTTGGTAGGACAAGTGGAAAATCTGCTGGTGGAATAAAGCACCATGTGGGCATTAGCTTCATCCTCATGGCACGGCCTCAATTGCTTAAAGAAGTTATTTATGTCCTTAAAATAGTTGCCTTTGAAACTCAACTTGTCTGCTAAGACTACTGTTGAAGAGAGAACAATCATACCCTACAGATCTCCCACTTCCCTAGTTAGACTGAGCAGGTAGAGTGATTGGAATCCTACATGGCTGGAATAGCTGAGAAGTGTTCAACAGCTTCACAGGCAGTGAGGAAGGGCCAATATGAACACCCTAAGAGGACAATTCATGGCAAATAGATCTTGATTATTTCAACCTGGAGAGAAAATGAAAACTAGCCTATTAGCAATTTCCAACAGTTTGTATGCTGCTGTGCTACAGCATTTCTCTAATTTTTAGCTAATATTTGAATGAAAACATAATACTCTCTTCAGTCAGCTATTAGAGGATTTGGCTGTATCATTACATGAAAAACTGGCTTGGATCCAGAGATGGGCAATATCACAGAACTGATTGCCTAACACATCTGAAGTTTAACCCCAGTTGCAATTTCTACAATTGGGATCTGTCAAATTCCCAATTCTTCATAAATAAATCACTCTTTACTTAAGTTAATGTGAGTGAATTTCTTTCTTTCCTTCTTTCTCTGTCTTTCGTCTCTCTCTCTCTCTTTTTCTCCCTTTCTTTCTTTCTTTCTCTTTCTTTCTTTTTCTTTCTTTCCTCTCTCTCTTTCTTTTTCTTTCCAATCAAGCAGATTCCTAAGACAATGTCAAACTTCCCTTTGCCTTTGTAAACAATCTATTAAGTGAGCATGATCAAGATGTCTTTATAAAGGAGGAATTTTTCAACATAATTTTTGGCCAAACATAATTTCAAAAGAGAATAATACAGTACTATTTGTGCTGACAAGAGACGCCTGTTGGCCAGCTCCATTGCTTCAGTGTTAAAGATCTCATCTATTTCCTTGTTACAGTGTGGACATTTCACCTTCTGATGTTCTGTTGTTTCTTCTTCGTTCAACTAAATAAAACATAAATAAAAGAACAAAAAATACATGAATATTAACATATTGTTTAGCAAAATCCACAAGCAATTTTTGTACCAGTTTGCATTGAAAAATGGTAGCAAATCTGGTAGATAAGAAAAATGTTCAGATCCTCATCATTTGCTCAAATGTCCTAATCATTTGCTCAGTTATAGAAGGTAAAATAATTGTCAGTTTTGCGGGGAGGAGTTATATCATATCTTTACTTTTACACGGCATTATTAACAGTTTAAAAAGCTATCACATATATGATCATGCTTTACACTAGCAGTTTTCAAAGTGTGGTCTCCCAGCAGCATCAGAATCACCTGGGAATTGTTAGAAACGTGCATTCTCAGATCCCACCTTAGACCTAGTGAATCATAATTGGAGGAGTGGGCGTCAATCTGTGTTTCTAAAACCCCATTTGAAAATTTTGCTGCAGCTAAAGCTTGACAACCACTGCTTTAAAATGATACTTAATGTAAAATAGAAAGTGAACACACGTAAAGGAAATGGGAGTATGAATAATTTACAGATGAGAAACTGAAGCTTAGAGAAAATTGATGATATGCTCAAAATTACAAAGCTATTAAGTGAGAAAGCTAGGCTATAAAGCCAGATTTTCTGATTCCAAGGTTGGTGTTCTATCTTTAATACTATAATATCCCTCATGTTTGCATCACAAAAAGGAGAATGTAGTCATTTGATCCTCTGCCTTCTAAAACAGATCAAGTACCAGAGTGGTGGCCCCAACACTGGCTTCTGCATTAGAATTAGCTGGGTAGTGGACTTAAAATATTCCTGGATCCCTGCTCAGACCACCTGCATAAAAATCTTCAGAGAGTAGGTGAAAACTCAATCAATATTTTGAGTAAACTATCTGGATAATTCTGATGCAGACAAGTCAGCAAAAGTTCACAATCAGGTATTGGAAGCTACTAGAGAAATCTTTGGATATGACATGGTACTTGTTCCATCCAGAAATCCTGGCAGTATTCCTGCAGGCACAAGTGTCAGTTCTAAATTCCTATCTGGAGCTTTAAGCACTGGTTCAGTGGATATGAAATGGATTTTTTCAGAATTCTACTTCATAGAGACTAATTATCTCACCTAAGCACTCCCAGAAGTTGGCCCCTCATATTGTGTTTTGCAAAAAAAACAAAAACAAAAACATTGTAAAAACCATTGAAAACTGGACATGATGTAGGACACGGAAAAGTGCAGCAGCTGTGAAGACCCCAGGACAACTTTTATTATTTCCCTTTAGGGAAACCATGACTGATTAGTGTGCTGAGTGTTCTTAAAAGAATGAGTCTGACTGCAGATATCTTAAAGCATATCTCAGAAGCAGAAGGTGACATCTCCCACAGCTAAACTTTGGCTTTGAATTCTATTTTATATTGAAAATATTTTTAACCATAAATTAAGGTCTAGCAAATGCTTAGATACACAATAGCCTAAATAAATAAACAAAGACCCCTGACCCCTCCCAATTTGGTCAAAAACTAGCCATTTTCTAAGGTTCACTTTCATACACACACACACACACACACACACATATATATATATATATATTATATTTTTTTTTTTTTTAAGAAAGGGTATCTCTTTGCTGCCCAGGCTGGAGTGCAGTGGCACAATCACGGTTCACCACAGCCTCAACCTCCCAGGCTTGAGTGATCTTCCTACCTCAGTCTCCCGAGTAGCGGGGACTACAGATGCACACCACCACCCAACTAATTTTTTGTATATTTTATAGACACATGGTTTTGGCATGTTGCCAGGTTCGTCTCAAACTGCTTGGCTCAAGCAATTCACCTGCCTTGGCTTCCCAAAGTGTTAAGATTACAGGCATGAGCCACTGTGCTGACCTATGATGTCTTTTAAAGGGAGCTCCAATACACAGCCTCCTCTTTTGAATTTAAACATATATATTTTAAACATACACATAAAACATATATTTTATTTTCAAATTTTTGGTATTTCTTGATTCTTTTTTTCATTATACTTTAAGTTCTAGGGTACATGTGCACAATGTGCAAGTTAGTTACATATGTATACATGTGCCATGTTGGTGTGCTGCACCCATTAACTCGTCATTTACATTAGGTATCTCTCGTAATGCTATCCCTCCCCCAACCCCCACCCCACAGCAGTCCCCAGTGTGTGATGTTACCCTTCCTGTGTCCATGTGTTCTCATTGTTCAATTCCCACCTATGAGTGAGAACATGCAGTGTTTGGTTTTTTGTGCTTGTGATAGTTGGCTGAGAATGATGGTTTCCAGCTTCATCCATGTCCCTACAAAGGACATGAACTCATCATTTTTTATGGCTGCATAGTATTCCATGGTGTATATGTGCCACGTTTTCTTAATCCAGTCTATCATTGTTGGACATTTGGGTTGGTTCCAAGTCTTTGCTATTGTGAATAGTGCCACAGTAAACATACGTGTGCATGTGTCTTTATAGCAGCATGTTTTATAATCCTTTGGGTATATACCCAGTAATGGGATGGCTGGGTCAAATGGTATTTCTAGTTCTAGATCCCTGAGGAATTGCCGCACTGTCTTCCACAATGGTTGAACTAGTTTAGAGTCCCACCAACAGTGTAAAAGTGCTCCTATTTCTCCACATCCCTCTCCAGCACCTGTTGTTTCCTGACTTTTTAATGATCGCCATCCTAAGTGGTATGAGATGGTATCTCGTTGTGGTTTTGATTTGCATTTCTCTGATGACCAGTAATGATGAGCATTTTTTCATGTATCTGTTGGCTGCATAAATGTCTTCTTTTGAGAAGTGTCTGTTCATATCATTTGCCCACTTTTTGATGGGGTTGTTTTTACTTGTAAATCTCTTTGAGTTCATTGTAGATTCTGGATATTAGCCCTTTGTCAGATGCGTAGATTGCAAAAATTTTCTCCTATTCTGTAGGCTGCCTGTTCACTCTGATGGTAGTTTCTTTTGCTGTGCAGAAGCTCTTTAGTTTAATTAGATCCCATTTGTCAATTTTGGCTTTTGTTGCCATTGCTTTTGGTGTTTTAGACATGAAGTCCTTGCCCATGCCTATGTCCTGAATGGTATTGCCTAGGTTTCCTTCTAGGGTTCTTATGGTTTTAGGTCTAACATTTAAGTCTTTAATCCATCTTGAATTAATTTTTGTGTAAGGCATAAGGAAGGTATCCAGTTTCAGCTTTCTACATATGGCTAGCCAGTTTTCCCAGCACCGTTTGTTAAATAGGGAATCCTTTCTCCATTTCTTGTTTTTGTCAAGTTTGTCAAAGATCAGATAGTTGTAGATGTGTGGTATTATTTCTGAGGACTCTGTTCTGTTCCATTGTCTAGATCTCTGTTTTGGTACAAGTACCATGCTGTTTTGGTTAGTGTAGCCTTGTAGTATAGGTTGAAGTCAGGTAGCATGATGCCTCCAGCTTTGTTCTTTTGGCTTATGTTTGACTTAGCAATGTGGGCTCTTTTTTGGTTCCACATGAACTTCAAAGTAGATTTTTCCAATTCTGTGAAGAAAGTCATTGGTAGCTTGATGGGGATGGCATTGAATCTATAAATTACCTTGGGCAGTATGGCCATTTTCACGATATTGATTCTTCCTATCCATGAGCATGGAATGTTCTTCCATTTGTTTGTATCCTCTTTTATTTCGTTGAGCAGTGGTTTGTAGTTCTTGAAGAGGTCCTTCACATCCCTTGTAAGTTGGATTCCTGGGTATTTTATTCTCTTTGAAGCAATTGTGAATGGGAGTTCACTCATGATTTGGCCCTCTGTTTGTTTGTTATTGGTGTATAAGAATGCTTGTGATTTTTGCACATTGATTTTGTATCCTGAGACTTTGCTGAAGTTGCTTATGAGCTTAAGGAGATTTTGGGCTGAGACGATGGGGTTTTCTAAATATACAATCATGTCATCTGCAAACAGGGACAATTTGACTTCCTCTTTTCCTAATTGACTACCCTTTATTTCCTTCTCCTGCCTGATTGCCCTGGCCAGACCTTCCAACACTATGTTGAATAGGAGTGGTGAGAGAGGGCATCTCTGTCTTGTGCCAGTTTTCAAAGGGAATGCTTCCAGTTTTTGCCCATTCAGTATGATATTGGCTGTGGGTTTGTCATAGATAGCTCTTATTATTTTGAAATACGTCCCATCAATACTATTAAGAGTTTTTAGCATGAAGGGCTGTTGCATTTTGTCAAAGGCCTTTTCTGCATCTATTGAGGTAATCATGTGGTTTTTGCCTTTGGTTCTGTTTATATGCTGGATTACATTTATTGATTTGTGTATGTTGAACCAGACTTGCATCCCAGGGATGAAGCCCACTTGATCATGGTGGATAAGCTTTTTGATGTGCCACTGGATTTGGTTTGCCAGTATTTTATTGAGGATTTTTGCATCAATGTTCATCAGGAATATTGGTCTAAAATTCTTGTTTTTTGTTGTGTCTCTGCCAGGCTTTGGTATCAGGATGATGCTGGCCTCATAAAATGAGTTAGGGAGGATTCTCTCTTTTTCTATTGATTGGAATAGTTTCAGAAGGAATGGTACCAGCTCCTCCTTGTACCTCTGGTAGAATTCGGCTGTGAATCCATCTGGTCCTGGACTTTTTTTGGTTGGTAAGCTATTAATTATTGCTTCCATTTCAGAGCCTGTTATTGGTCTATTAAGAGATTTAACTTCTTCCTGGTTTAGTCTTGGGAGGGTGCATGTGTCGAGGAATTTATCCATTTCTTCTAGATTTTCTAGTTTATTTGTGTAGAGGTGTTTATGGTATTCTCTGATGGTAGTTTGTATTTCTGTGGGAGTGGTGGTGACATCCCCTTTATCATTTTTTATTGCATCTATTTGGTTCTTCTCTCTTTTCTTCTTTATTAGTCTTGCTGGTGGTCTATCAATTTGGTTGATCTTTTCAAAAAACCAGCTCCTGGATTCATTGATTTTTTGAAGGGATTTTATGTCTCTATTTCCTTCAGTTCTGCTCTGATCTTAGTTATTTCTTGCCTTCTGCTAGCTTTTGAATGTGTTTGCTTTTGCTTCTCTAGTTCTTTTCATTGTGATGTTAGGGTGTCAATTTTAGATCTTTCCTGCTTTCTCTTGTGGGCATTTAGTGCCATAAATTTCCCTCTACACACTGCTTTGAATGTGTCCCAGAGATCCTGGTATGTTGTGTCTTTGTTCTCATTGGTTTCAAAGAACATCTTTATTTCTGCCTTCATTTTGTTATGTACCCAGTAGTCATTCAGGAGCAGGTTGTTTAGTTTCCATGTAGTTGAGCGATTTTGAGTGAGTTTCTTAATCCTGAGTTCTAGTTTGATTGCACTGTGGTCTGAGAGATTGTTGTGATTTCTCTTCTTTTACATTTGCTGAGGAGTGCTTTACTTCCAACTATGTGGTCAGTTTTGGAATAAGTGCAGTGTGGTGCTGAGAAGAATGTATATTCTGTTGGTTTGGGGTGGAGAGTTCTGTAGATGTCTGTTAGGTCCGCTTGGTGCAGAGCTGAGCTCATTTCCTGGATATCCTTGTTAACTTTCTGTCTCATTGATCTGTCTAATGTTGACAGTGGGGTGTTAATTTCTCCCATTATTATTGTGTGGGAGTCTAAGTCTCTTTGTAGGTCTCTAAGGAGTTGCTTTATGAATCTAGGTGCTCCTGTATTGGGTGCATATATATTTAGGAGAGTTAGCTCTTTTTGTTGAACTGATCCCTTTACCATTATGTAATGGCCTTCTTTGTCTCTTTTGATCTTCGTTGGTTTAAAGCCTGTTTTATCAGAGACAAGGATTGTAACTCCTGCCTTTTTTGTTTTCTGTTTGCTTGGTAGATCTTCCTCCATCCCTTTATTTTGAGCCTATGTGCACGTGAGATGGGTTTCCTGAATACAGCACACTGATGGGTCTTGACTTTTCATCCAATTTGCCAGTCTGTGTCTTTTAATTGGAGCATTTAGCCCATTTACATTTAAGGTTAATATTGTTATGTGTGAATTTGATCCTGTCATTATGATGTTAGCTGGTTATTTTGCTCGTTAGTTGATGCAGTTTCTTCCTAGCATCGATGGTCTTTACAATTTGGCATGTTTCTGCAGTGGCTGGTACCGGTTGTTCCTTTCCAGGTTTAGTGCTTCCTTCAGGAGCTCTTGTAGGGCAGGCCTGGTGGTGACAAAATCTCTCAGCATTTGCTTGTCTGTAAAGGATTTTATTTCTCCTTTGCTTATGAAGCTTAGTTTGGCTGGATATCAAATTCTGGGTTGAAAATTCTTTTCTCTGAGAATGTTGAATATTGGCCCCCACTCTGTTCTGGCTTGTAGAATTTCTGCCGTGAGATCAGCTGTTAGTCTGATGGTCTTCCCTTTGTGGGTAACCCAACTTTTCTCTCTGGCTGCCCTTAACATTTTTTCTTTCATTTCAACTTCGGTGAATCTGACAATTATGTGTCTTGGAGTTGCTCTTCTCGAGAAGTATCTTTGTGGCATTCTCTGTATTTCCTGAATTTGAATGTTGGCCTGCCTTGCTAGATTGAGGAAGTTCTCCTAGATAATATCCTGCAGAGTGTTTTCCAACTTGGTTCCATTCTCCTCGTCACTTTCAGGTATACCAATCAGACGTAGATTTGGTCTTTTCACATAGTCCCATATTTCTTGGAGACTTTGTTCATTTCTTTTTATTCTGTTTTCTCTAAACTTCTCTTCTCACTTCATTTCATTCATTTGATCTTCCATCACTGATACCCTTTCTTCCAGTTGATTGAATCGGCTACTGAAGCTTGTGCATTCGTCACGTAGTTCTCGTGCCATGGTTTTCAGCTCCATCAGGTCCTTTAAGGACTTCTCTGCAATGGTTATTCTAGTTAGCCATTCGTCTAATCTTTTTTCAAGTTTTTTAACTTCTCTGCGATGGGTTCGAACTTCCTCCTTTAGCTTGGAGATGTTTGATCATCTGAAGCCTTCTTCTCTCAACTCGTCATATTCATTCTCTGTCCAGCTTTTTTCTGTTGCTGGTGAGGAGCTGCGTTCCTTTGGAGGAGGAGAGGTGCTCTGATTTTTAGAATTTTCAGTTTTTCTGTTCTGTTTTTTCCCCATCTTTGTGGTTTTATCTACCTTTGGTCTTTGATGATGGTGATGTACAGATGGGGTTTTGGTGTGGATGTCCTTTGTGTTTGTTGTTTTTCCTTCTAACAGGCAGGACCCTCAGCTGCAAGTCTGCTGGAGTTTGCTGGAGGTCCACTCCAGACCCTGTTTGCCTGGGTATCAGCAGCAGAGGCTGCAGAACAGCGAATATTGCTGAACAGGCAATGTTGCTGTCTGATTGTTCCTCTGGAGGTTTCCTCTCAGAGGGGTACCCGGCCATGTGAGGGGTCAGTCTGCCCCTACTGGGGGGTGCCTCCCGGTTAGGCTATTCAGGGGTCAGGGACCCACTTGAGGAGGCAGTCTGTCTGTTCTCAGATCTCAAACTCCATGCTGGGAGAAACACTACTCTCTTCAAAGCTGTCAGATAGGGACATTTAAGCCTGCAGAGGTTTCTGCTGCCTTTTGTTCAGCTATGCCCTGCCCCCAGAGGTGGAGTCTACAGAGGCAGGCAGGCCTCCTTGAGCTGCAGTGGGCTCCACCCAGTTCGAGCTTCCTGGTGGCTTTGTTTACTTACTCAAGCCTCAGCAATGGTAGGCGCCCCTCCCCAGCCTCACTGCCACCTTGCAGTTTGATCTCAGACTGCTATGCTAGCAATGAGCTAGCTCCGTGGGTGTGGGACCCTCCGAGCCAGGTGCGGGATATAATCTCCTGGTGTGCTGTTTGCTAAGACCATTGGAAAAGCACAGTATTAGGGTGGGAGTGACCCAATTTTCGAGGTGCCATCTGTCACAGCTTTGCTTGGCTACGAAACGGAATTCCCTGACCCCTTGCGCTTCCTGCGTGAGGCGATGCCTCGCCCTGGTTCAACTCACACTGGGTGCACTGCACCCACTGTCCTGCATCCACTGTCTGACAAGCCCCAGTGAGATGAACCTGGTACCTCAGTTGGAAATGCAGAAATCACCCGTCTTCTGCATCACTCATGCTGGGAGCTGTACACTGGAGCTGTTCCTATTTGGCCATCTTGGAACCATGCCCCCAAAACATATATTTTAAACATATATATTCAAAGGGGTTATGACTTCTACTTTGCCCCACAGTGATCATGAAGTTCCTTAACACTCCCCCTTACTACTTTGTTAAATAGAGTTATTAACATGACTTCTCTATCAATTACAAATATTAAAACTTGTGAATTAATATTTATGATCTGATTTATACTTCAGTATAATCAAATCTGCATTAAAGCAATAAAAAAGATATTACTTGCTTACCATGTATGGGTTTTCAAGTGTAATTGCTTTCTCAATCATGTTCCAATCAGCATTAGCAAGATCTTTGTCAAATTTAAGGGCAGAGGCTGCAGACTTGGTTAGCTCTTGAAAGTGTTGAAATGTGCAACAAACCGATTTATATTTTGTTGATGTGGCATCACGAAGACCTTTGATACAAACACACATTTGATAAATAGTAGAAACACCACAATTTTGATATGGGTTAGAAAGCTTACTTTTGTTTTTAACTTATTGTCACTAATCTTTAAATAAAATTTCAACATAAACTGTTTAATAATGGGAATACTAAAGAGTTAAACATTTTCTGCTTTCATATTTCTTCTCACAAAAGGTGAGGCATGTAATAGTAATAGCTAATGTTTATTGAGTGCTTACTATATTCTGCAAAAGTGCATTTCAGCACTTTTCATGCATTAAGTTTTTGGTTATTTGGCCACCTTTTGAGGTGAGTCCTTTTTCCCAGTTTGATATATGAGGAAACAAAGAAACAGAGGTATAATGGTTAGTTTCATTTGTCAACTTAACTGGGCCACAGGGTGCCCATATATTCAGTTAAACATTCTGGGTGTGTCTGTGAGTGTTTTTGGATGAGGGTGACATTTAAATTGGTAGACTGAGTAAAGTACATTGTCTTTCCCAATGTGGGTGGGCCTCATCCAATCTGTTGGAGGCCTCAATAAAACAAAAGTCTGAACAAGAGAGAATTTGTTGTCTCTGCCTTATGGTCTTTGAGCAGGGACTTCAGTCTTCTCCTACCTTCAGACTTTAGCTGGAACTTGTACCATTGGCTCTTGGTTCTCAGGCCTTTGGAATGCATACTTTGGGACTTAGCTTCCATAACCTCATGAGCCAGTTAAGCACATATGATAAATTATCTGCATTATCTTTTAAGATTCCAATCTCTTGAGCTATCTTTTTGTTCTAGAATACATCCAGTTTCTAGCTTCCTAAGAAATTTAGCACCTGTTGTGTTTTCTGAAGATCATTACGTTAAGTGAAATAAGCCACACACAGAAAGACAAACATCACATATTCTCACTTATTTGTGGGATCTAAAAATAAAAACAATTTAACTCATGGACATAGAGGGTAGAATGATGGTTAACAGAGACTGAGAAAGGTGGTGGGGGGATGGGGGCAGGTGGGGATGGTTAACAGGCACAAAAATATAGAAAGAATAAATAAGACTTACTATTTGACAACACAATAAGGTGACTATAGTCAATAATACCTTTACATTTTAAGAATAATTTAAAGAGTCATATTTTAAATTTTAAACATTTTTAAAGTTTTACATTTTAAGAATAATTTAAAGAGCAATTGAATTATTTGTAATTCAAAGGGTAAATGCCTGAAGGGATGGATATCCTATTCCCTATGATGTGCTTATTTCACTTTGCATGCCTGTACCAAAACATCTCGGGTACCCCACAAACATATACACCTACTATGTACCAACAAACATTTTAAAAATAAAAAAGAAGAAAATAGCCACAAAAAAAGAGAAATATCTAGGAATAGAGCTAACGAAGGAGGTGAAAGATCTCTACAAGGCGAACTATAAAACACTGTGAAAGTAATCAGAGATGACACAAATAAATGGAAAAACATTCCATGCTCATGGATTGAAAGAATCAATATCATTAAAATGGCCACATTATCCAAAGCAATATGCAGATTCAACACAATTTCTATTGAACTACTAATGTCATTTTTCACAGGATTAGAGAAAAACAGTTCTAAAATTTACATAGAACCAAAAGAGAGCCCAAATAGCCAATGCAATCCTAAGCAAACAGAACGAAGCCAGAAGCATCACACTACTTGACTTCAAACTATACTACTAGTCTACAGTAACCAAAATAACATGGTATTGGTACAAAAACAGATACATAGCTCAATGGGACAGAATAGAGAACCCAGAAGAAAAGCTGCATGCTTACAGTCATCTGATGTTTGACAAAGCTGACAAAAACAGACAATGGGGGATGGATTCCCTATTCAGTAAATGGTGCTGCGATAACTGGCTAGCTGTATGCAGAACAATGAAACTGGACCTCTACCTTTCACTATATACAAAAATTTACTCAAGATGGATTAAATATTTAAATGTAAGACCTCAATTATAAAAGTCCTAGAAGAAAACCCAGGAAATAAATGTTTCCACACCAGCCTTGAGAAATAATTTTTGGCTAAGTCCCCAAAAAAATTGTAACAAAACAAAAATTGACAAGCAACACCTAATTAAACTAGAGAGTTTCTGCAAAGCAAAAGAAACTATTAATAGAGTAAACAGACAACCTATAAAATGGGAGAATAGATTAGCAAACTATACATCTAACAAAGGTCTTATATCCAGAATCTACAAGGAACTTAAAGCAACAGGCAAAAAACAATCCCATTTAAAAATTGGCAAAGGTTAAGTGTCCATCAACAGATGAATGGATAAAGAAAATATACATATACACAATGGCATACCATTAAGCTATTAAAAAGAATGAGATCCTGTCATTTGCAACAGCATGGATGGAACTGGAGGTCATGTTAAGTGAAATAAGCCAGGCACAGAAAGAAAAACTTTGCATGTTCTCACTTATTTGTGGGAGCTAAAAATTAAAACAATTAAACTTATGGAGATAGAGAGTAGAATGATGATTAACCAGAGCCTGTGAAGAGTAGTGGGGAGGTAAGGGGAAATTTGGGTGGTTAATGCATTCAAAAAATAGAAAGAATGAAAAAGATCTGGCATTTGATAGCACGATAGGGTGACTATAGTCAAGAATAATTAATTGTGCATTTAAAAATAACTAAAAGAGCACAATTGGATTGTTTGTAACACAAAGGATAAACACCTGAGGTGATGGATACTCCATTTACCCTAATTGATTATTACACATTCTATACCCGTATCAAAATATCTCATGCACCCCATAAATATATACAACTACTATGTATCCACAAAAATTAAAACGAAAAAAAAGTCTTAATGGGCAAAGAACATGAACAGACACTTCTCAAAAGAAGGCATACAAGTGGCCAACAAACACATGAAAAAATGCTCATCATCACTAATCATAAAAGAAATGCAAATCAAAATCACAATGAGATACCATCTCACACCAGTTAGAATGGTTATTATTAAAAAGTCAAAAAATAACAGATGCTGGCAAGGCTGTGGGGAAAAGGGAACACATATACTGTTGGTGAGAAAGGAGAATGTAAATTAGTTCAGCCACTGTGGAAAGCAGTTTGGAGATTTCTCAAATAACTATAAACAGAACTACCATTCAAGCTAGCCACCCCAAGATAGCCAAAGGAAAATATATCATTCTACAAAAAAGATACATTCACTTGTATGTTCATCACAGCATTATTCACAATAGCAAAGAGATGGAATCAACCTAAGTGTCCATCAATGGTGGAATGGATAAAGAAAATGTGGTACAGATACACCATTGAATACTATGCAGCCATAAAAAAGAACAAGATTATGCCCTTTGCCGCAACATGGATAAAGCCAGAGACCACTATCCTAAGTGAATTAATGCAGGAGCAGAAAATCCAATATCTTTTGTGGGAACTAAACATTGAGTACACATGAACATAGAGATGGGAATAGTGGATACCAGGGAGTACTAGAGTGGGGAAAGAGAAATGGGATGTGAGTTGAAAAGCTACCTTTTGGGTACTGTGGTCACTACCTTGGTGATGAGATCTGTACCTCAAACCTCAGCATCACACAATATACCCATGTAACCAACCTGCACATGTCAAATAAAATTTGAAAAAAATTAGGCACCACTGACTTGTATTTATATAATTTATATGGATTCTTTTTTTTTTTTTTTGAGACAGGGTCTTGCTCTCTTGCCCAGGGTGGAGTGCAGTGGTGTGATCTTGCCTCACTGCAGCATCAGCCTCCTGGGTTCCAGCGATCCTCCCCAATCAGCCTTCCAAATAGCTAGGACAACAGGTGTGCACTGCCACGCCTGGCTAATTTTTAAACTTTTTGTAGAGACGGGGGTCTCACTATGTTGCCTAGGCTGTATATGGATTCTTTCTTTATTATTAGCACTTCTTTACCATACTTAGAATGTTTTTCTCTCCACAGGAATAGTAACTGTTAGGGCTTACCTAGTATAGTAACTGCCACTGGCAAAATAAATCTATTGACAACAAGGGTTATTAGGCATACTAACACTCCATGAAATAATATCTAGAATTGAAAAAAATACAAAGTAAGTATTCATGACAATTTCATATAATATAGCCTATATTTACCAATATAAATTAAGCTATTTTCCAATATAAATTAAGCTAGGTTGTACTGTGTTAATAGATGCTCATGGCAGGGGAGGAATTAATCTAAGATGAAAGCACTCTGGGTATTCTCTATCTTCCTGCATGTAATTCATCCATGTTTTGTTACCAAACCGAAATTAGGACACAAGTTTTGACAAGTAAATCAATACTTATACAGACATTGGGAAGGAATATTTATCTTTGAATTCCACTGTTGCACTTCCTGGTAGCTGAGAATACACTTATACTTTATCAATCCTTATCCACTATACAAACCTGGCTGTGCATGGCCACACCGTTCTCTATTCAACATTACCAGCATATCTGCATCAAACAATTCTCCTCACCTGGGAAAGGAGAACAACTCAAGGCCCTTGATATGTTTTCTCCACCTCACACTTTGCCTCACTGGTACCCTTTCATTGTCAGGAAGAAGGAGTAATAAATGTCTTTGGTGCCACTTGATATCTTTATCTACTTGTATCTCAAGTCAGTCTTGATAGACAAATGAACTAACACTTTTCAATCTGAGGCTACACATTTTTGGGGATTTATGGAATTCCAACTTCCAGAATTTATGTTTCACCCTAGCTAGTCTTCTGTTCTGTATCCACAGATGGAATTAGGGATAGAGCATGAAACCACACTAGAGGCTCCCAAAGTTGCACATTAGAATCATAAGGGAAACTTTAAGATATTGGTACTCAGGAGGTCCCCACTGAATATTCTGATCTAATTCGTCAAGGGTGCAGCCCAAGCATTGGTAATAAGGAAATCTGAGGTATAATGTACATACATTGAAATGTACTCAAGTACCATTTTGTCAGTTTTGACAGTGTATATCTACTCATATAACTCTCAATCCTATCAAGATGCAAAATATCTCACATCCCCAAAATTTCTCTAATGCTCCTTCCTAATAAGTCATTCACCAATGAGAGGCAGCTAGTATTTTGATTTCTACTTCTGTAGATAAGAATTGCCAATTCTAAAATCTTCGTATAAATTAAATAGCATATGACATGTCTCACTGTGATTTTAATTTGCATTTCCTTAGAGTAGTAATGTTGAATACTTCTAACATGCATATTAGTACACATCTTTCTTTTTGAAGAAGTGTCTGTTCAAATATGTTGTACGTTTTTAAAAAAATTGGGTTACCATTGTATTTTCTTCAAAAAATTTTACAGTTTTTGATTTTATATTTAAGTCTATGGTCCATCTCAAATCAGTTTTAGGTATGGTGTGAGGTAAAAATAGAGTTTTTCTTTTTTTTTTTCTAAGTGAATCCAGTAGTTCAGCACCATTTATTGAAAAAAATATTTTTTCTCTCATTGAACTGTTTCAGAATCTGTGTCAAAAACCAATTCACCATATATGTGAGTCTTTTTTGAATTCCTTATTATACTCCATCTTTTTTTATTCTTATGCCAGCATGCTACTGAATTACTGTATTTTTATAATAAGTCCTGATATCAGATAGTATAAGTCCTTAAATTTCGTTCTTCCTTTTCAAAATTATTAGGGCTATCCTCAGTTTTCTGTATTTCTATATGGAGTTTAGATTTTGGGTATCTATTTCTAAAATCTTCTGGGATTGGAATTGCAATGAGTATAGTGACATCCTAATAATTCCAAGTCTTCAAATCCATATTGGAATATATATTTTACATAGGTTTTTAAAAATGTGTCTCAACAATGCCATGTTGTTTTCAGTGCACGAGTCTTGCATATTTTGGAAAGAAGCCTCTAACTTGGCTCTCAGAGGTATCCATCTCTTGATACTTAGTCATCTTTTTTTTTTGTAAGTCAGGTGTTCATTTATTAAATACAAGTTTTGAACTAACTCTGCCAGGCAAGTTTGACAAGAAGCAACCTTCCTGAAATGTTTCAAAATACGGTCATGTTGATTATATTTTATTTCAAGCAACCTTTTTGTTCTTCATTTTCTGTTTCTGGGTTTATTTCCTGGTGAGCAGTTAGAGCATGTGCATTATTTCCTCACATGACATCAAGAGTGCAGCATCAGCCTCTGGCTTGTAAAGGCACCCAGTAGGCTTATGTTCTGTACAATCGCTGCTTAGCAACCAGCATCAAGTAAAGTAATTAAGCTTTTGTAGAGTGTGGTACCAAATAGCAACTGGCACCTTCACCTGCACCATTAAAAAACCTTTAAAGTTTCCTTCAGTTTTGAGATATCCATTAAAAACTATATTAAAAAAACAAAACCCAGACTTCTTGATAAAATGTACTTAAACGATTTTCCAAGTTTAGTATTAGCCTCTTGGTAAGTTATGAGCAATACCAGAGCTGAGTAAGAGTCGTCATTTTCCTATCATACTCCAGCAAAGCCAATAAATAAAACTAGGTATGTTAGAAAGTCTGCCCTACTAGATTTAGAGCTGCTTCTAAGTTCCAGACAAAACACCTTTTTAAGCTTCCAAGTGTATATGCACACAGTGTTGTACCAAGATGATAACTTTTTAAAATCTAATTTTTTAGATGTCCTTAAATTACTTCACAGAAAGAAAAAAGGCACAGAGGACACTTGGTTTCCTCACCAGTGGTGGCCTTAAGCTACACACTTGCCTGTGCTAAGAGTTTAAAGATATTCAGCAGCATTAATGGTGCCATAGCCCTTCATAGAAAGTTTCAGGAAAAGAGCTTAAAAAGCAGAAGAAAAGCTTGCCAAAAAGGCTTACAATCTGAAGGTTAAATGCAGAAGAATACAGACAGAGACTAGAGGCAGCACCAAGGTTGTTAACCAGGAAGCTGCTGAGAATAGCTGCTTTCTGAGGTTTCTTCCCCATTTTCCTCCAGTTTTCTCCTGAAAACTCTGGTCTTTTCCCCTCTTGTTTTTAAAATGAAAACATCCTGTTAGATTGGGTTTGGAGGATAAATGCAAATAGGCAGAAGCTTATTTTATACAGAGTTCATTCTCAGAGAGGAAAAGGAGAATAATAAATATTGAATGAAGCTAATTTTAGAAAATAAGCAAATCCTGTCAACGCATGCTTTAGAGGCCCAGGGAGCACACTGAATGAATCTTACATTCTGGCATTTGCAAAAGTGTCCTCAACTTCCTTTTTCATTTATAAGCACAGCAATAGGCAACATCTATTTTATATCTAGGGTGGAAAGCCCTCTTAGATTTGAGGCTTTCCAGCTGATACCATCAAAAAAACATCAAGGACTGCTTATAGCAATTTGTGTTGAAATATAAAACTATTTTATTTGATCTTTCAACCATAGTTAATAACGTGCTCCAAATGAAGCAGTGACACCCATTTCTCAATCTTATCATTTTTCTTGTCACTTATGACATCTCTGGGCTTAGAAAGATGGTGATATAAAGACAACCCATAGGGGAGTGTCCCTACTCAGCATATTAAGCTGCACAATTGAGTAGTGAGCTCAAGCTCAACTTATGAAAGTGGCGTCCATCCACCTACTAACTACACCAGGCTAAGTGGATATTTAAAATGTCTTGTGGACAAGGTTGTGCTCAAATTCCTACTTTGTTAATTGAATGCCTAACTCTGTGATAGAAGCAGCTCTTAGAAGTCAGGTCACAAGCCCAAATATTAACCATATACATTTTATAATATCAGAACTTTGTCAAGAATGAGTATGTTAGCAAACATGGCCACATACTGCATACATCTCACTCTGGAAGAGAAAATGTAAAGTGGTACTCAGTTTACTCTTGAGTGTGTGTGTGTGTGTGTGTGTGTGTGTATCTCACACGCTGAAATATACTGTTGATATTACTTAGTCATCTTAAATATGGACTAGACGTATTGACTCACTTCTAATAAATAGAATATGAAGAAGTAATGGGAAGTGACTTTCAAAATTAGGTTATAAAAAGACCGTGGCTTCCGTCTTGAGGGTTTGCTCTCTCTAGCTCTCTTGCTTATTCATTCTGAGAGAAGCCAGCTACCATATTGCAAGCTGACCTATGGAGAGGTCCAAATGACAAAGAGGCTTCTGGCCAAGAGTCAACAAGAAACTAAAGCCCTTAGTTCACTGCCTTCAAACAACTGAATCTTGTCAACAAAACCACACAATCAGCTTAGAAGCAGATTCTCTAGCCCCAGTTGAGCCTTTTGATGGCTGCACTCCCAATTTATGCTTAAATGCAAGTTTATGAGAGAAACAATCAGAGGCACTCAGTTAATTTATACTCATATTCTTGACTCACAGAAACTGAGATAATAAATGTTTCTTGTTTCAAGCCACTGAATTTTGGGACAATTTTTTTACATAGCCATAGATAATGATAACTGATACATATGTATTTCATTATTTTTGTTACTATGACATGTTTTTGATGCCATTATTATGTTCTTTATTTCATTTTTCTGTTAGTTGCTAGTATATAAAAATATAATTTAGTTTTGTATACTGAACATGAATTTCATGATTTCGCTAAATTCACTTATTAGTTCTACTGGTTATTTAGTATCTACCAGTTTGTGTGCCTTTTTTCTCCCTATTGCCTGAGGTAGGACATTGAGCATAATGTTCCACAAAAATGAAGAAAGCAGATATATTTGCCCTTATTTGAAACTTAAGGGAAAGTATTCAGTATTCAACCATTAAGTGTCACTTATCATTAAGCTTTTAAGTTTTTCTTTTTAAATAAATCCCCTCTATCCGATTAAAGTAGTTTTCTTCAAACTCTATTTCACAAAAAGTTTTCTATGTATAAAATCATATCTTCTGCACACAAAGATAGTTTTACTTAATCTCTTCTTATTTAGGTGCCTTTTATTTCTTTCTCTTGCCTGATTGCTCTGGCTAGGACTCTCAGAACTGTGTTGAACAGGAATGGTGAAAATGGGCATCCTTGTTTTGTTCCAGCTCTCAAGGGGAATGCTTCCAGCTTTTGCTGATTCTGTATGATGTTGGTTGTGGGCTTGTCATAGAGGGCTCTTCTTATTTTGAGGTATCTTCCTTCAATGTCTAGATTTTTAAGGGTTTTGAACATGAAGTAATGTTGGATTTTATCAAAAGCCTTTTCTGCATCTATTGAAGTAATCACATGATTCCAGTTTTTAGTTCTGTTTATGTGATGAATCACATTTACTTATTTGTATGTATTGAATCTACCTGGCATCCAAAGGATAAAGCCTACTAGATCATGGGTAGATTAGCTTTTTGATTTGTTGCTGGATTGGGTATGTCAGTATTTTGTTGAGGATTTTTGCATCTATATTCTTCAAGGATATTGGCCCGAAGTTTTATTTTTCTGTTGTGTCTCTGCTAGCTCTGCCAGGTTTTGCTATTAGGATGATGCTGGCCTCATAGTGTAAGTTAGAGAGGAGTCTATTCTAAATTTTTTGGAATAGTTTTAGTAGAAGTGGTACCAGCTCTTTAAAGTACAATTCATCTATGAATTTGTTTGGGCTTTTTCTAGTTGGTAGGTTATTAGATGCAGAATCAATTTTGGAACTCGTTATTGGTCTGTTCAGGGTTTCAATTTATTCCTGGTTTAATCTTGGGAGTTTGTTGTTTCCAATAATTTATCTATTTCTTGTAGGTTTTCTAGTTTGTGTGCAGAGGTGTTCACAGCATTTTCTGAGGGATTCTTGTATTTCTGTGGGGTTGGTGGTAATGTCCTCTAAGTCATTTCTGATTGTGTTTATTTGGATAATCTCTTTTATTCTTTATTAGTCTAGCTAGCAACCTATCAATCTTATTTATTGTTTCAGATAACCAACTTCTGGTTTCATCGATGTTTTCTATGTTTTTTTTTAAATTATACTTTAAGTTTTAGGGTACATGTGCACAACGTGCAGGTTAGTTACATATGTATACATGTGACATGTTGGTGTGCTGCACCCATTAACTCGTCATTTAGCATTAGGTATATCTCCTAATGCTATCCCTCCCCCTCCCCCCACCCCACAACAGTCCCCAGTGTGTGATGTTCCCCTTCCTGTGTCCATGTGTTCTCATTGTTCAATTCCCACCTATGAGTGAGAACATGCGGTGTTTGGTTTTTTGTCCTTGCGACAGTTTGCTGAGAATGATGGTTTCCAGCTTCATCCATGTCCCTACAAAGGACGTGAACTCATCATTTTTTATGGCTGCATAGTATTCCATGGTGTATATGTGCCACATTTTCTTAATCCAGTCTATCATTGTTGGACATTTGGGTTGGTTCCAAGTCTTTGCTATTGTGAATAGTGCCACAATAAACATACCTGTGCATGTGTCTTTATAGCAGCATGTTTTATAATCCTTTGGGTATATACCTAGTAATGGGATGGCTGGGTCAAATGGTATTTCTAGTTCTAGGTCCCTGAGGAATCACCACACTGACTTCCACAATGGTTGAACTAGTTTACAGTCCCACCAACAGTGTAAAAGTGTTCCTATTTCTCCACATCCTCTCCAGCACCTGTTGTGTCTATGGTTTTTCACAACTCAAAAAAGAATGTAGACATATAGATGGCCAACACACACGTGAAACATGTGAAAATCGCTATCACCAGAGAAGTGCAAATCAAAACCACAATGAGATGCCACCTCACACCACTCAGACTGGTTATTACTAAAAAGTCAAGAAATAACCGGTGCTGGCAAGTTTGCAGAGAAAAAGGGACAGTTATATACTGCTGGTGGGAATGTAAATTAAGGCAGCCACAGTGGAAAGCAGTTTGGTGACTTCTCAAAGAACTTGGAACTACCATTCGACCCAGCAATCCCATTATTGGGTATTTATCTAAGAGAATATAAATTGTTCTACCATAAAGACATATGCATGTGTATGTTCATCACAGCACTATTCACAAGAGTAAATACATGAAATCAAGCAAAATGCCCATCAATTGTAGACTGGATAAAGAAAATGTGGTACAGATACACCATGGAATACTATGCAGTCATAAAAAGAACAAGATTGGGAAACTGACCAAGATGGCTGGCTAGAAGCAGCTAGTATGCACCTCTATCATGGAGAGAAATAGAAGGGGTGAGTAAATACAGTGTTTTCAGCTGAAACATCCAGGTACACACACTGGGATTCATAAAGCAAAAAACTTGACCCACAGAGAACAAGGAAAATCAAGGCAGGATGACCACCCACCTAGGAGTGACACAGAGTCAGGGGAGCCTCCCCTACACAGGGAAGTGGTGTGTGAGTGACTGATTCCGGGCACCCATTCTTCTCCCATGGATCTTTGCAACCCTCAGGTCAGGAAATCCCCTCATGAACCGACTCCATCAAGGCCTTCAGTCTAACATGGAGTCTTAGCAGAGCAGCCATCCAAGCACACGTGGAGCCCTAGGTGCTTCAGATACTTGGGGTTCCCAGCAAAAGTGGCTGCAACTTCAGCAAAGTCAGAGATTAGACTCCTGAACGTACTCTAGGAAAGGAGGTGATCCAGGAGGCCTGAGTAGCAATGGTCTACAGGCATCACTCCCATGGCATCTCCTGGGATAAGACCCACTGCTTGAAACTTCAGTCATCCACCAGTAGCAGCATTACACCTCCCTGAGACCAAGCTCTGAGAGGGAGGTGCAAGCCACCATCTTTGCTGTTTCATAGCCTTAGCCATTGTTGCCTTTAGTGCAGCTGCCCTGTGGAAGAGTAGCCAGCTTGCTTTTTTACACAGGTCCATGATCCTGCTTCTCCTCTCTGGGCAGGTGAGTGAATGAGTGATTCTGGGTATCCATGCTTCTCCCATGGATCTTTGCAACTCTTGGGTCAGCCCCCTGAATCATCTCCTTTCCTAGAGGTATGGACAGGGATCTAACCCCCAACCTTGCTCAAATTGCTGCCACTTTTGCTGGGAAGCCCAGGTATCTAAATTGCCCAGGGCTCCATATGAGTGGCTGCTCTGCTAATATTCCATGTAGCTCTGCATGTCAGACTGTAGACTGGGCTCTCCAGTCACCCTAGCCAGTGTTTTCTGGGTTGCAGTGGTTCCCAGCCTCCCTGGGATGGAGGTCCCTGTGGGAGGGATGGGCCACCATCTTTGCTGTTACACAGCCTTAGCCATTGTTGCCTTTGAGCTCTAGGGATTCTGAGGTGACTAGGGACTGGAAAAGTCCCCCAGAACAGTGCAGCTGCTCTATGGATAAACAGCCAGACTGCATTTTCACATGGGTCCGAGGTCCTAGTTCTCTTCCCCAGGCAGAATTTCCTGACCACAGTCTATGACCACCCCCACCAGTGTTTTCTGGTCAGCAGCAGTTTCCAACCTCCCTGGGATGGGGCTACCAGAGGGAGAGGTAGGCCACCATCTTTGCTGTTTCTCAACTTAAGCATGGTGGCCTTTAGGCTTTGGAGAGTGTGAAGCAACTGGAGGTTTAAGCAGACCCCCAGAACAGCACAATTGCTCTATGAAAAAGCAGACAGAATGCCTTTTTATGCAGGTTCCTGATTTTGATCCTTCTCACTGGGTGGGATATCCTGATTGGGGTCTCCAGCCACCCCTGCTGGTGTTTTCTGGTCAGCAGCAATTTCAGAACTCTCTGGGACAGAGCTCTCAGAAGGTGGAGTAGACTGCCATCTTTGCTGTTTAGTAGCCTTAGCCATTGTTGCCTTCAGGCTTTAGAGAGTCAAGGTGACCAGGGACTGGAGTGAACTGCCAGCAAAGCACTGCTGCCCTTGGGAAAATAGGTCAGACTGCTTTTTTAAGTGGGTCCATGATCCCATTCCTCCACAGTAGGCGAGATCTACCAAGTGGAGACTCCAGCCACCTCCTGCTGGTGTGTTCAGGCTGGCAAAATGTCTGTACCTCCCTGGGTTGGAGTTCCCAAAGGGAGGGGGAGGAGCAGGCCACCATTTTTCTGTTTCACAGCCATCACTAATGATACCTTCAGGTCCTGGAAAATCTGAGGAGACTAGGGACTGGTGATGACTGCCAGCATACCACAGCATCCTTACGAAAAAGTAACCAGACTGTTATGTGGGCCCTTAAACCTATGTCTCCTCACTAAGCTTGGGCCCACAGCACAGATCCCGCATTCTGGACAATTGCACTGAATGATTACTCACCTGCATCTCTCTGGGGTAGAACCCCCAGCAGACAGGCAAAAGACCTTCATCCACAACCACTGCTAAGGTCATTTCCACTGTTGCCGCCAAGTTGGGGAAGGCAACAGTGAGATCACACAAGAGCTGTGGTAGGCAGCCTTGGAGTGCCAATTTGTGATCTACAGCCAGCACTCAAGTAGGAAAGGAGCCCACATGTTCAGGGCATTGACAGAGAGCATGGCTGCAACTGTAAGGAAATGTAGGGGAGCCATGTGACCAAGCAAGAGCCCACCAACTGACCACAATACCTAACCACCACCTACTGGTTCACACCCCAAAGTTTCAACACCAAAAATACCTCCTCACTAACATATCTGCCCTGTGAAACCAAAGACAAGAAGTCATTTGCAAATAAAGACTCTGCAGAAAGCCTTGGCCCAATGAAAACATTCAGAAAAGAAGTCTACTGACTGCACACAATCTGCACCACAGCTAAAGGGACACCCAAACACAGAGATGAGAAAGAACCAATGCAAGAACTCTGTCAACTCAAATGGCCAGAGTGTCTTATATCCTCCAAATGACCACACTAGTTCTCCGACATGGGTTCTTAACCAGGGTGAGTTGGCTGAGACAACAGAAATAGAATTCAGAATGTGGATAGTAATGAATATCATCAAGATTCAGAAGAATGGCAAAACCAATCCGAGGAAGCTAAGAATCACAATAAAATGATACACAGATCTGATCTGAGAGAGCTGAAAAGCACACTACAAAAATTCCACAAGGTTATTGCCAGTATTAACAGCAGAATAAACCAAGATGAGGAAAGAATCTTGGAACTTGAAGGCTTGATCCATGAAATAAGACAGTCAGATAAAAATGAAAAAAGAATGAAAAAGTTTAAACAAAACTTCTGAAAAATATGGGATTATGTAAAGGGGTAAAACTACAAATTATTGGCATCCCTGCAAGGAATGAGGAGAAAGCAAACAACTTAAAACACATATTTCAGAAAATTGTTCATGAAACTTCTCCAAACTTGCTAGAGAGGCCAACAGTCAAATTCAGGAAATACAGAGAACCCTTGCAAGATTCTATACAAGAAGATCATCCCCAAGACACACAATCATCAGATTTTACAATGTCAAAATGAAGAAAAGAAAATTAAAGGCAGCTAGAGAGAAAGGGCAGGTCGCCTACAAAAGGAACCCCATCAGGCTAACAGTGGATCTCTCAGTAGAAATCCTACAAGCCAGAAGTGACTGGGGGCTTATATTCAACATTCTTAGACAAAAAATCGTCAACCAATAATTTCATATCCAGCCAAACTAAGCTTCCTAAGTGAACATGAAATAAATTTTTTTTATTTCAGATAAGCAAATACTGAAGGAGTTGGTTACCAACAGACTTGCCTTGCAAGAGATCTGGAAAAAAGCACTAAATATAGAAAGGAAAGATCACTGACAGCCAACACAAAAACACACATAAATACATAGACTAGTGACACAATAAAGCAACTATACAAACAAACTGACATAATAACCAGCTAACAACACAATGGCAAGATCAAATCCACACATATCAATAATAACCTTGACTATAAATGGGTTAAATGCCCCATTTAAAAGACAGAGAGCAGCAAGCTGGATAAAGAACCAAGAGCCAATGGTGTGCTGTCTTCGAGAGACCCCTTTCATCTGCAGTGACACTCATAGGCTCAAAATAAAATATTTTCCAAGCAAATGGAAAACAAAAAAAAAGCAGGAGTTAAACAATCCTATTTGCAGACAAAACAGACTTAAAACAACAAAGTTTTTAAAAACACAAAGAAGGGCATTACACAATGGTAAAGGGTTCAATTCAATAAGAAGACCTAACTATACTAAATATTAATGCACCTAACAGAGGAGCACTGAGATTCATAAACCAAGTTCTTAGAGACCTACAAAGAGACTTATACTCCCACACAAGAATAGTGGGAGACTTTCACACTCCACGGACAGTAGCAAACGTATCATTAAGGCAGAAAATGAACAAAGATATTCAGGATCTGAACTCAGCATTGGACCAAATGGACCTTATGGACCTCTATAGAATTCTCCATCAAAAAACAACAGAATATACATTCTTCTCATCACCACATGGCAAAAAGTCTAAAATCAACCACACAATCAAACGTAAAACAATCCTCAGCAAATGCAATAGAAAAAAATCATACTGAACACACTCTAAGATCACAGCACAATAAAAACAGAAATTAAGGCTAAAAAACTACTCAAAACCATCCAATTACATGGAAATTAAACAACCTGCTTCTTAATGAGTTTTGGGTAAATAATAAAATAAAGGCAGAAATCAAGAAGTTCTTCAAAACTAATATGAACAAAAAGACAACATACCAGAATTTCTGGGACACAGCTAAGGCAATGTCAAGAGAGAAATTTATATCATGAAACGCCCAAATCAAAAAGAAAGATCTCAAGTTAACAACCTAAAATCACAACTAAAAGAACTAGAGAAGCAAGAGCAAACCAGTCCCAAAGCTAACAGAAGATAAGAAATAACCAAAATCAGAGCTGAACCGAGGAGATCAAAACACACACAAAAAATCATTCAAAAGATCAATGGATGCGGTGGTTCTTTTTATTTATGAAAAAATTAATAAGACAGATAAGCTTCTAGCTAGACTAATAAAGAAGAGAACATTCAAATAAGCCCAATTAAAAATGACAAAGTGTATGCTACCACTGACCCCACAAAAATACAAATAACCATCAGAGACTACTATGAACACCCCTATGCACACAAACTAGAAAACCTAGAAGAGATGGATAAGTTCCTAGACACATACATCTTTCCAAGCCTCAACCAGGAAGAAAGTGTTTCCCTGAACAGGCCAGTAGTGAGTTCCCAAATTGAATCAGTAACAAATAGACCAACCAAAAAAAGCCATGGACCAGACAAATTTGCAGGCTAATTCTACCAGATACACAAAGAAGAGTTGGTACCATTTCTACTTAAACTATTCCAAAAAATGGAGAAGGAAAAACTCCTCCCCAAATCATTCTATGAGGCTAGCATCATCCTAATATCAAAACCTGGCAGAGAAACAACAAAAAAGAAAACTTAAGGCCAATATGCTTGATGAACATTGATGCAAAAATCCTCAACAAAATACTAGTAAACCAAAATCCAGCAGCACATGGAAAAGCTAAGCCACCACAATCAAGTAGGCTTGATTGGGATGCAAGGTTGGTTCAATATATGCAAATAAATAAATGTTATTGATCAGAACAGAAGTTAAGACAAACTATATGATGATCTCCATAGATGCAGAAAAGACTGATAAAATTCAACATCTCTTCCTGTTAAAAACTCTCAATCTACTAGGTATCGAAGGACCATACCTCAAAATAATAAGAGCCCTTTATGACAAACCCACAGCCAATATCATACTGAGTAGGCAAAGGCTAGATGCATTCTTCTTGAATACTGGCACAAGACAAGGATGCCCTCTCTCACCAGTCCTACTCATTATAGTACCGGAAGTCCTGGCCAGGTCAATCAGGCAAGAGAAAGAAATAAAGTGCATCCAAATAGGAAAAGAAGTCAAATTATCCTTATTTGCAGATGACATGATTCTGTATCTAGAAAACCCCATAGTTGGCCCAAATCTCCATCAACTGGTAAACAGCTTCAGCAAAATTTCAGGATACAAAATCATCATACAAAATTCATCAGCATTCTTATGCACCACCACCAACCAAGCCAAGAGCCAAATCAAGAATTCAATCCCATTCATAATTGCCCAAATAATACCTAAGAATATAGCTAACCAGTGGGGTAAAAAATCTCTACAATGAGAATTACAAAATTCTGCCCAATGAAATCAGAGATGACACAAATGAATGGAAAATAATCCATGTTCATGGATAGGAAGAATCAATATCATTAAAATGGACATACTGCCCCAAAGAATTTACAAATTGAATGCTATTCTTATCAAACTAACAATGACATTCACAGAACTAGAAAAATCTATTTTAAAATTCGTATGGAACCAAAAAGAGCCCAAATAGCCAGGGTAATACTAAGCAGAAAGAACAAAGTTGGAGGCATCACATTACCTGACTTCAAAATGTCCAACAGGGCTACAGTAATCAAAACTGCATGGGTACTGGTACAAAAACAGACATTTATACCAACAGAGTAGAAGAGAGGGCCCAGAAATAAGGCTGCACACCTACAACCATCTTATCTTGGACAAGGCTGTCAAAAAGAAGCAATAGGGAAAGGACTCCCTATTCAATAAATGGTTTTGGGATAACTAGCTAGCCATATACAGAAGGTAGAAACTGGACCCCTTCGTTACACTACATAAGAAAATCAACTCAAGATAGATTAAAGACTTAAATGTAAGACTCAAAGCTATAAAAACCCTGGAAGACGACCTAGGCAATACCATGCTGGACATAGATAGTGGCAAAGATTTCATGACAAAGATGCCAACAGCAATCACAACAAAAGCAAAACTTGATAAAATTGATCTAATTAAACGTAAGAGTTTCTGCACAGCAAAAGAAACTATCAACAGAGTAAATATAAAACCTACAGAATGGGAGAAAATATTTGCCAACTATGCATCTGACAAAGGTCTAATATCCAGCATTTATAAGGAACTTAAACAAATTTACAAGAAAACAACCCCATTAAAAGTAGGTAAAGGACATGAGCAGACAGTTTTCAAAAGAAGACGTACATGCAGCTAACAAGCATATTTTAAAAAGCTCAGTATCATTGATCATTAGAGTAATGCAAATCAAAACCATTATGAGATACCATCTCACACCAGTCAGAATAGCTATTATTAAAAAGTCAAAAAATAACAAATGCTGGCGAGGTTGCAGAGAAAACTGAACACTTATACAGTTAGTGGGAGTGTAAGGTAGTTCAATCATTGTGGAAAGCAGTGTGGCAATTCTTCAAAGAGCTAAAATCAGAATTACCATTTGACCCAGCAATCCCATTCCTGTGTATATGCCCAAAAGAATATAAATTGTTCTACCATAAAGACACATGCATGCCTATGCTCATTGCAGCACTATTCACAAATAGCAAAGATATAGAATTAACCTAAATGCCCACCATGGCAGATTGGATAAAGAAAATGTACATATACACCACAGAATATGTATTAGTCCAGTCTCACATTGCTATCAAGAACTACCTGAGATTTGGGTGGGTTTTTTTGTTTGTTTGTTTGTTTGGGTTTTTTTGTTTTTGTTTTTGTTTTTGAGATGGAGTCTCACTCTGTCGCCCAGGCTGGAGTGCAACAGTGCAATCTCAGCTCACGGCAACCTCCACCTTTAGGGTTCAAGAGATTCTCATGTCTCGGTCTCCTGAGTATCTGGGACTACAGGTGCGCACCACCACACAGGCTATTTGTATTTTTATTTTTAGTTTTACAGGTATTTGTATTTTTAGTAGAGACAGGGTTTCATCATGTTGGCTGGGCTGGTCTCAAACTCCTGACCTCAAGTGATCCACCCACTTCAGCCTCCTAAAGTGCTGAGATTACAGGCATGAGCCACCATACCCAGCCAGACTGGGTAATTTATAAAGAAGAAAGGTTTAATTGGCTCATGATTCTGCAGAGTGTACAGGAAGCATGGCTGGGGAGGACTCAGGAAACTTACAATCACGGCAGAAGGCAAAGGGGAAAAGCAGGCAAAATCTTCACATGGCAGAGCAGGAGAGAGAGGGAGTCAAAGGGGAAGTGCTACACATTTTTAAACAACCAGATCTCATGAGAACTCACTCACTATCATGAGAACAGTAAGGGGGAAATCCACCCCCATGATCCAGTCACGAGGTCCCTCCCCTAACATTGGGAATTACAATTCAACATGAGATTTGGGTGGGGACACAAAGCCAAACCACATTAGAATATTATGCAGCCACATAAAAGAATGAGATCATGTCCTGCAGGAAAATGGACAGAGCTGGAGGCCATTATCTTTAGTAAACTAACGCAGGAACAGAAAACCAAATACTGCATGTTCTTACTTATAAGTGGGAGCTAAATGATGAGAACATATGGACACAAAGAAGGGAACAACAGATAGTGGGGACTACTTGAAGGTGGAGGATAGGAGAAGGGAGAGGATTGGAAAAAAAATAACTATTGGGAACTAGGCTTGGTACCTGGGTGATAAAATATTCTCTACAACAAACCACTGTGACATGAGTTTACCTATCTAAAAAAAAAAAAAAAAGCAAAAAACATAAACCAAGACCATGTCCTCGTGTCCTTTGCAGCAACATGGATGGAGGTGGAGATCATTATCTTAAGTGAACTAACACAAGAACAGAAAGCCAAATACCATGTATCACACTTATAAGTGGGAGCTAAACATTGAGTACACATGGACACAAGGAAGAAAACAACAGACACTGGGCTTACTTGAGGGTGGAGGTTGGGAGGAGGGTGAGAATGGAAAAAATATCTATCGGGTACTATGTTTATTTCCTGGGTGAAATGATCTGTACACCAAACTTCCATGCCATGCAATTTACCCATACAACAAACCTGCACATGTATCCCTGAACCTAAAATAAAGTTTTACAAAAAGAAAAAGTAGACATTTTTACATTGCTCCAAATCTTAAAGGGAAAACAGTCTTTCACTATTAATTATGTTGTTACCTACAGACTTTTTACAGATGTTCTCTATCAACATTAGAAAATTCCCTTCTATTCTTATGTTTTGAAGTTTTTATCATGAATGGATTTTACATTTTGTAAAATGCTTTTTCTGCATCAATTGATATAATTTCCATAAATATCAATTGGATCCTATTTGTCAATGATGATTTCAATTCTTTCATGTCTTTGCTGATTTTCTGTCTAGTTGTTCTATAATTTGTTGAGTTATATAGAGGAGTATTAAAGTGTCCAATTATAATTTATCTATTTCTCCCTTTAGGTTTATCAGTTTTTGCTTCATATATTTTCTCACTCTTGTAGAACATATCAACTTAGAACTTATTTTTTTTCTTCTGCACAGTCCAATCTGCCATGAAGCTCATAACGAAAATTTTTAGTTTGGATATTTCTTATTTCTAGAATTTTTCTTTAGTTTTTTTATGGTTTCAATTCTTCACTGAAATATCCCATATCTTCATTTCCTATGTCCATTTTTTTCTTTAGATTCTTGAGTATATTTTTTAAAGTATTGCTGGTTCCAACATCTGTGTCACCTTTGGGTCGTTTCTATTGAATAATTTTTTCCCTTAGTAATAGACCACATTTTCCTGCTTCTTCACATGCATAGTAATATTAGATTTTAGGCTACATATTGTGGATGTCACATTCTTGAGAGTCTTGATTACATTGTCTTCCTGTAAAGAGTTTCTGAGTTTTGTGTCAGGCAGTTAATTTGCTGGCAGGTCACATTATCCTACTAAGGCGTGATTCTAGTCTTTCTTCAAATGGGTCTAAAATACACATTTCTTTAGGGCATAATTCTTATTTCTAAGACATGGTCTTTCTGGATTCACAACTTAACCTATGTGGTTTTCAGTGAGGTTTATACACCATGGCTAGTCAGAACTTAAGTATCTGCCAGAGCTGTGTGGCCTTTACAATATCCATTCAGCCAAAAGCTCCCAAGCAGCTCTTTTCTGCTGCTCCTCCTGCAAAATCTCTGCTTGTTTTGATTAGTATTGAAGTAATGATCCAAGGAAATTTAAATTTCTGGTGCTCCTTTTTCTACACAATTCTTCCCTCCATGATACCCTGCCTCCCCAAATTCTAGCTACTTAAGTAGCCCTAAACTCTCATATAGGTATTTTCTGCCCAGTAAGTTTACTGCATCCTGTTTGGCCTTCACTTCTCTCTGCAACATTTTTGAAGAAAGATCAGAGTGAATGTGAACTCTCCTTATGTGTTCCATTTCTCTGAAGGATCTAACCAGGCAATGTCCCTTATCCAATACCCCAAATCAGTTGCTTCATATATTTTAAACATTTTTGTAGTTGTTTACTATGGAAAGTAAGTCTGATATCCACTATTCATCATAGTAAAGACTAGAATTCCACAGACATTGATATTTTTCAAAAAGTTCCTAAATCAATCTAAAGTGCATTGCATTCTAGGTAAAAGACCACTCAATTAGTTAAATAGTTTAAAATTAATAAGAGCTAACACATATAACAGGCTAATAATACAATATACGAGGCTTATTTAATCTTCACTGCAATTTTGTGAGGTAATTACCAATACTGTACAATTACACAGATGGGAATCTAGGGCACTGTGACTTTCCCAATATAACATAACTTATGAGTAGTAGAGACAGAATTAAAAAGGCAATATGTCTTTGATGTTAGTATTTTTAACCCTTTACTATAATGCCTCTGGGTAAGTATTAACTGTAGGGTTCAGCTAGATTAAATTGAGAAAAGGAGTTCTACTTTCTTCTCAAGGAGTTACTTCTAGTGAGGATATTTACTAAATGATTTTACTTACTAAAATTTTATTTTAAAACACTACGGCAAAGTATATCATCACTTATAATTTCATCATCAGAGCTTGTATTTATTGTACAATTGCTATATGCTAAACAATGTGCCAAGTGTTTTATGTACATTTTTTGTTTCTCATAATAATGCTTTGTGAAAGTAGTGTGCTAGGCTGGCTCTTACTAGCTCATGAGAGCTAATCGTTCAATTTCAGGAAGTTTATGAGCTGACTGATGTTCTGTTGGTGGAAGTGATTACACAACAGAAATGGGCAAATACTACAAATTAGGACTTCCTCTCACCTCAACACTTAAGTTACTTGTTAAATATTTACCAGCAAACCATTGATACTATTAAGTCTGTTTTGGAGTGAGGAAACTGATACTTGAGGTGAGGTGGAAATTAAAAACTTGCTGATGTCCACGCAGCAAATAGCATCTAAGCTGAAAATTTCAGAACCTAGATCTGTGCACAAGGTTAGCCGTCACACTGATCAGGTGTATGGTGATGACACTGATCTTGAATATTTGGGCTTGTAGAAATAGATAGAAGGGAGAGGTCATGCAATATCAGATAATTTTGATTTTAAAGGCAGTTTAAAGATTAGTTTTTTAAATATTTGGACTGAGTATTATTTAAGTAGATACATAATGATTATCTTGCCACTTCTCTTTTTACATTTGGAATTTTTGTTAAAAAAAAAAACCCAGATGATAAAAGCATCAGATGCTCTGTGATATCTGCACAGAAATTTTCTTACAGAGATCCTTGTAATTATCTTGCCCAGACACATGGTAGAAGGAGAGTTATGCCCTGTATTTTCTGCTAAGCAGAGTTTGAGGGTACTGTTTAGAGTGTTTTACCTGACAATTAAAATGTTTTGGCTCATAGCATTACTAAATGAGCCTCAGAAAGTTACAGAAGGTAATAGGGCCAATCATAAGAAAGTTTTCACTTCTCTTGAGTGCAATAAATAATTAAAACATTATTGAGTGCACCTTTTATGCCAGGTACTATTTTAAATGATTGATAAGTTTTAATTACTTTGATCTTTGTAATAAACCTATTTCAGGGGAGAAGGAAAGTTGCCAGTTGTTCCTCCTCTCCCCGATCTTGCCATCATAGCTAAATCACTCCTACATCCCAAGTGAAGTTGAGCTACCTCACTACAAAAAAACATATATTTTAAATACACAGTAATAGTTTTATACAATATTCAGATAAGAAAATACAGCTTTCTTTACTTGAGATTTTTCTTTGTCAGATCCAAAATAAAGATCAGAGTAGGCAAGCAGAAGGGCCATGTTTATATTAGGCATCCCCTTCATTTCACTACAGACCATTATGAATATCCAGCGCCAACTGAACTCATGACCAACTCGAGACAAAACAGGGCTTATTAAAAGAAGGGTCAGAAATCTAAAAGACAAAACAATTTTTACAAAGTTATTCTTTCATATGAGTTTCTTTCCATTTCATGCTACTCTATTCTAATCTACTCCCTGTAGAATTCCTAACTCTCAAACAAATGAGACATCTTTCACACACTGTTGACATGACACCAAAGAAAGGCAGCAGGTATTCCATAGAGAGACATGCCAAGAGAATGGTATTATTCTTTCTTTCTTTCTACTAGGTGAGTAGCATAGTAAATTTACATCATCCTTGAGTGGTGCTCCTTCAGGAGGAAAAAGAAAAGTTCGAGATGTGTTGTACATAAATTCTGAATCCCCACCCCAAATAAAAACAAATTTAATGAATAAGAAGTGAGAAAATGTTCTCTGTTTCTTTTTGTTTATAGATTTTAATCTTGCTGAATTGGTCCAATATTGGCCAGATTTTTTTTTCCTTCAGTCATATATCATTCCTATGTTTTACACTAATTTTATCTGATAATTTGGGAAATAATTTTATTTTACTTGGCACTAGATGCCTTGACTTCAGCAATTCAACTAGATGGAAGTAGAATGTTAATCATTTGAGTAATGGAGATTAAAGACCTATGAGACTCTAGTTATGGTGGTTTTTCTCACTCTATGCTATCTCCTTTTCAGCTACATAAACAGACTTTTTCTACCTCTTAACAGTGGAAAAAGAAACTACAAAAATGATTTGAGAAAAAAAGATGTTTACAAAGAGGGCTTCCCTATGATATTTAAAAAGCAATTTCTAACTATAGTTTTTAATTAATAGAAAATTGTTTGTTATATAATATTGAGCAAAAACAAGATTTTTATTTATAATAGGTACTTAACTTCATGAAATGTCATTACAAAAACATTGGACAAAATATGTCAAATGTTGAGTTTTTTTCTAATTAAAAAAACTTATAGAGTTTGCATTGCTTTGAAATTTAGTTAAAAGCCAAAAAAAAATTACAAAGCATTTATTTGCTGATGATCCTTGGAAAGTTTGAGTCAATTTTTCAATCTAAGGTACGAAATCTTTGTGTTATTTAAAAGATGACCTTCAAACTTACTCAATTATCTATAAATAGAAAAATTTTAATGATGTTCTTACCTTAAAACAATCAATGTTAAGTAGATATTTAATGAATAGTATATATCAACAAATTCTATATACAAATATGTATGTGCAGGAATTAGAAGTCCAAAGAAAGTAAACACCATGAGAAAAGCAATACGTGATAGAAAAGTCCAGAATCTGCATCATTCAGAAAAAATTAAAAATATTTATAATTAATTAATTTGACATCTTTATTACAAGGTTTATCTATGTGAATCATTGTGCTAATGATTACCAAAAAATGAATAAAACATTTACAAACAACTTTGACTTGTAGCTGAAAATGATGAAAAGTTATTAAATTATTTTACACAAAAGAAATGACCTGGATAAAGAGGAATTGAAAATATGAGATGGGTGAAGGTCAGTAAAAGATCATAGAATCAATAAATTTTAGTCTCAGTATGGTTGCAGAATCGTGAGAATTTAGGTACTAGAGGGCATATAGTGAAAAGATGGGAGATGGTACACCTTCTATGTTAAAGAGTTAACATGGACCTGTTACAGGTTGTTTTGAGATGTTAGTAGGATTTAACACTATTGTCTTAGATTTTCACTGTCTTCAAGAGTAGAAGTTGGTACATACCATATTTTAGATAGTAAGATTCTTGCAATTGAGTTTATGAAGTAGTTACTTGTACAACTGTGGGAGTGGGTGGTTAAAGAGGAGTGGTGGACATACTTATACAAGGAGAGAAGATCCAGGAATTGAAAGATGAGGGAGTAGAAGGATTAACTGTATGAATATTGACATCACTAAGAATGGTGATAGAGTAATATTGGAGAGTCACAGTGAGACAGGAACTAAAATCTTCACAAAATGGAGAATGTGACTTAGAGTTCTATAGATAATCACAATCAAGAGGCAGATGGCATATTCTGATGGCACGAGCTTCAAAATTGGATTCTTTTAAGGAAGTAGGAGATAGAATGATTTAGAAATCACTTCGAGGTTCAGAGAGATCACCTACTTCAATTGTAGGCTCAATAGTACTAGGAACGCAGGCAAGAAAGACATCACAACTTATAAGGAATGAAGAATAAAGATAAGTAATATATTTGAAGATCCAGCTTACAGTTGGAGCAAGAAGGGGAGGAAAACCTTCAGAATCATTCCCCATATATATAACTAATACTTGTGTAGCATTTTAAATTCTTCCCTCAGCTGTGGTCCATTTAATTTTGCCTAAGTGCAAGTACAATTTACTTCCATTGTAATTGGCATGGAATTTTATTGAAGTGCTCCAGAATCCTATAAGACCCTATATCTTTTAAGCTTCTTATATCAGAATTAATTCTATCTTCTATAACGTTGTCCCAAAACTCTAAAAACCATGGTTTACTTTCAGGGCCTTTGTTAACACATATGTTTTCATTATGTGGTTCAGGTCAAGTTTCCACCCTATGTATTGAAGCATTATGGAAAGTGCTCTTCCTTTTGGCTGATAACTACTCACCCCTTAGCTGAATTCCCTTGAGCAAGGCACAATTTGCACTTTTCCACCCATAGTCTTGCTTACATTTAGTGTGGTCATACTTTCTTTTATAACACTGCTAATCCTCTTCAAATGCCCCAGCTTACTCTTCTGATTTGCTTTACACAGCACCTCATTGTCCTTAAAATACTCATCTTTAGATTTTTTTTGCCTTAAGTTCAACTTAATTAAACTTAATTTTAAAATATTGCATTAAAATATTAAAATATTACTTCTCAATTACTGCACTTTTGGCACCCTCTTACTAGTGGGTACAAGATTTTATATGGGAAATTATTGAGGAGATAATCAGAGATTTGAGGAATGAGTGGGGAAAGAGAACCAACATGAACTCAAGGTAAGGTTACGAATTTGCTTTAAATTGGAGGATTCAAAGACACAGGCAAGAAAAAATAAAATCTAGGAAAGGTTTTTAGTTGGGTAGTTTTCAAGTCTTTGAAAATCTTACTTCGACCATGTAGATGTAGATATTGTTACTATTATAATATTATAGCTTCCAGTGTATGAAATAAAGTCAAAATATGCTATCCACTTACTCAAGAAGAAGTGTTTCTTCAATTGCTGCTTTAAAACTTGTAGAATTTAAAAGAAGTCCCACAATGGCCAGAGTAAATATTCCTGACATTCCAACTAACTCACCTATTTTTAAAAAGAAATAAATATAAAGTATTAATTTAACATCAACAGCAGCACAAATTTTACCCGAGTTAAAAGTATCAGATGTTGTGACAGTACCATGACTTTTATAGAGAGGCAACTTCACTTGATTTCAGCTGAAAAATATTGCAAATTATTACCACCACCCCATGTCCTTTTTCTTCCTCCAACTTATATCCAATTGTATTATAAAGCCTACTATGGGCATCTTTGCACTGCTTCGCATACCCCATTGAGGCTAGAGCACACTTTAGAGGTCTGGTTATTTCAGATGGGTTCTGGAGGGTTGAAATGAAAATCAGCTGATGATTTCGTGAACTTGCCCACAACTTCTTAGCAGACATAGTTCTAGTTAATAAGTAAAAATTGAAATATTTGTTTTTAATACTAAAGAATATTGTGGATATGCTACTTTTATCATATATTAAATTGTCATTCATACTTCGACTATTTCTGTGCCCTTTGTGTTTCTTTGACTTACTTTGTATTCTTGTGTTATAACAGTTGTATTTTAATTACTGTAGACCTATTAAAACATTTAATTATCTGGTAAAGAAAGTTCTCCACTTAAAAAAATTGTCTTGTCTATTCTCACACATTAATTTCTCTAGCTGAACTTTTGAAATTGTCATGAAATTTTAGATAGGCACGGTGGCTCATACCTATAATTCCAGCACTTTGGGAGGCTGACGGATGACTGCTTGAGACCGGGGGTTCAGGGCTGGCCTAGGCAACATAATGTGACCCTGTCTCTACAAACAATTTTAAAAATTGGCTTGGCTTGCTGGCACATGCCTGTAGTACCAGCTACTTAGGAGGCTGAGGTGGGAGAATTGCTTAAACCCAGGAGGTTGAGGCTGCAGTGAGCCATGATCATGCCACTGTACTCCAGAGCCTGGGCAACAGAGCAAGACTCTGTTTCTAAGAGAGAGACAGGGCCGGGCGTGGTGGCTCACGCCTGTAATCCCAGCACTTTGGGAGGCCAAGGCGGGTGGATCATGAGGTCAGGAGATTGAGACCCTCCTGGCTAACATGGTGAAACCCCATCTCTACTAAAAATATAAAAAATTAGCCGGGCGTCGTGGCGGGCACCTGTAGTCCCAGTTACTTGGGAGGCTGAGGCAGGAGAATGGCGAGAACCCGAAAGGTGGAGTTTGCAGTGAGCAGAGATTGGGCCACTGCACTCCAGCCTGGGTGACAGAGCAAGACTCCGTCTCAAAAAAAAAAAAAAAAAAAAAAGAGAGAGAGAGAGAAGGAAATTTTAAAACCAAAAAAATTTCTATCATTGTTTGATTTGGATTGTAATAAAGTTTAATTTAGTGAAATTAATGCCATTATTACATTATTGAGTTTTCCCTTCTAAAGATGGAAAATTACAAGTTGTCTATTTTTTATTTTAGTCCTGGCTGAAAATGGTAACAAAGGCAGAGTCATTGTTGAATCATGAAAGAAGAAGAAATCATGGACATAGGTTCTTTGAAACAATCAAGCCCTGGATTAGGTATTATAACTTGTTAGGTGATGGTGAAGTCAGGAAAATATTTATAATGACTATCTTGAAGGTACTAATAATATAAACATGAAGCCAGGTCACAGGGAAAGTCTTTTTACATTAAATTTATATTTACTCTGTATCTTGTTTTAATGAAATTCTGTCTTGGCAGGTTTCTTCCTAAAATGTTTATTGAGACATCTCGACTCTAAAAGTTTAAAATTATTTCCTTAAGTATAACCTTTAATCTTGAAACTAGGGTTACTTATTAAAAATAATGTTAGAGGAAATTATATTTGTTGGATTTTCTTTTAGGAATCTAAGTATACACATGAATACTAGCACATGAGGAACCCACCTGAATTAACTGATCATTCTCTCACTGTCTGTTAATTCATTAGCTTGATTCTGTAACCCTCGGTATATTATAATTGAATTTAATCCACTGATTAATTCATTAGAAAGCCTCAAGATCCTCTGGTCTGCCTTTTCCTCTTCAGAGGGAAAAATAATAAATTCCCATTACTCTAGCACTTCTGAAGAATAGTTTTTCTATGCTTCAATTTATTCAAATTTTATATTTCTTAATAACTTTTATAATTTTCTATGTTTAGGTCCAAACTATTTGTTAAGTTTATTCATTGATATTTTATAACTTTTTACCAATACAAAAAGAATCAAATTTTCATATTTTCTAGCTAGTTATTGCTGGCTGATAAAAATACCGTCAATTGTTTTGGATAACTTTATCTTATATCAAGCCATTAAAGGGTCTTGCTGACTTTGTTTACCAATTAATTCTGTTGAATTTTCTATATGATATAAAATGTCGTGATTAATCTAACCATTTTTTCTTTTAAAATATGTATAAATGTTCCCCCTTATTGTATTAGCTAGAGCCTTCAGAATTATTTTAAATCATGGATGTGAGAATATACACCATTGTCTTATTCCTAAATGTAACAGAGACATAGTACAGGTGAGGTAACTAGGTGTTATCTTGCATGTCAATTCCAAATCATGTGAAGGGCTGTCTGAAGAGCTGAGTTAAATGTGATTCTGAGGCTGTGTCAGGAAACAGCAGTATGGCTAATTATCAATAGCTACCATATTTTTGTGAGGAGGTGATTGTGGGACATGGATTAATAACATTGATAGATACTCTAACATTTAGCTTTACTTGATATGTAACTTCTATTTTGATTGCCTTTTTGATCTAACAGTTACCAAGACAAAATATCTAATTTACAGGTAGAAACTGCCCCCGCTCCGCCTTTTTGTTAGAGAGACGGCTTCTCTCTTTGTTGCCCGGGCTGGAGTGCGATCATAGCTCACTGCAGCCTCAAATTCCTGGGCTCAAGTGATCCTCCCGCCTCAGGCTCCTGAGGAGCTGGGACTACAGGCATGTGCCACCACATCTAGCTAGTTTTAAAAATTCTTGTAGACATGGGATCTCACTATCTTACCCAGACTGGTCTCGAAATCCTGGGCTCAGTTGATCCTCCTGCCTCAGCCCTCCAAGGTGCTAGGATTATAGGCATAAGCCACCACGCCTGGTAGGAACCCTCTTTTTGTAGTCCATATTTAATTTAATTGCATCATGTTTGAACAATGTTTGAAATTTTATTGAAATGTTCTTCGAGTTAATTTCTGCGAATTGTCTACAGGTATATGTAAAGGATATGCATTCTGTTTTGGGAGGTAAAACTCTATATATCTTATAAACCAACCTTATAAGATATTTAAATATTTTTATAACCATAATCATTTTTTGTTCAATTAGTCATGAAATTCTCTGGGAAAGGCATAATAATTTATCTTTCTGTAATGATAGTTTTGTCAAATTTTTCTTTCTTTTATAATAGTGTTTGCTAATATTGGTACATTGTTTCTGTTGTATAGATATTCATATGTTTAATATCTTTTGATAGATTATTTTAATAAAAATATTCTGTCTAGATCAGTTGAATGTTTTTACTAACTTTTGCCTGGTATGCATTTTTCATATATTTTTATTTTGAAGTTTTCTATGTGATTTTATTTTAGGCATAGGCCCCTCACTTACAAATATAAAAGATGAGATACAGAATTGAAAAGATGAGACTTATATGATTGACATCATCACCAAAAACAGTTGACATCCAAAATTGAATCAGTTTTGAACTTAGAATTCCAAACAAGAAACTTGCTATAATATATGAACAAATTCCACCCACGATCTCTTCAGCTACAAGAAAGGGGCGTAAATAAGAAATAGTTAATAGAACTTGCCGTTAATTTTAATTGATATTCCTTGTTAATTTTCCTTTTTGTCATTATCTTTAAAATTAGCTAACTGCCACAATGAACATGAGAGTGCAGATATCCCTGGGACATATTGATTTCAATTCCTTTGGATATATACCCAGAAGTAGGATTACTGGACCATATGGTAGAGTTCTACTTTTAGTTTTTTGAGGAACTTCCACACAGTTTTCCATAATAGCTTTACTAATTTACATTCCCACCAACAGTGTACAAGAGTTTCCTTTTCTCTGCAATCTTACTAACACTTCTCTTTTATCTTTTTGATAAAAGCCATTCTAACAGATGTGAAGTGATATCTCATTGTGGTTTTCATTTGCATTTCCCTAATGTTTAGTGATGCTGAACATTTTTTAATGTACCTGTTGACTGCTGAGTGCTGTAGCTCATGCCTATAATCCCAGCACTTACAATCCCTCGGGAGGCCGAGGTGGGCAGATCACTTGAGGCCAGGAGTTTGAGACCAGCCTGGCCAACATGGCGAAATCCCATCTCTATTAAAAATACAAAAATTAGCTGGGTGTGGTGGCACATGCCTGTAATCCCGGCTACCTGGGAGGCTGAGGCATGAGAATAGCTTGAATCTGGGAGGCAGAGGTTGTAGTGAGCCGAGATCACACCACTGCACTCCAGCCTGGGCAAGAGAGCAAGACTCTGTCTCAAAAAAAAAGGGTACCAGTTGACCATTTGTATGTCTTCTTTTAATGTCTGTCTGTTCTTAGCCTATTTTTTAATCGGGTTATTTATGTCCAATATATGGAGTCAACCTCAGTGTCCATCAGTGAATGAATAAAGAAAATATGGTAAACATATACAATGAAATAGTATTTGTCCTCAAAAAAGAAGGAAGTCTTGTTATTTACAACAAGATGGATGAACCTAGAGGACATTATGCTAAGTGAAATAAGATAGGCACAGAAAGGAAAATACCGCATGATCTTACTTATATGTAGAAACTAAAAAAGTTGAACTTACAGAAATAGAGAGTAGAATAATTATTACCAGAGGCTGGGGATGTAGGGAGGAAGAGAATAGGGAATTGTTGATTAACAGGTGCAAAGTTTCCAAGAGAAAGCAGTAATAAGTTTTCAGATCTATTCCACAGCAAAGTGACTGTAGTCAATGATAATGTATTGGTATTTCAAAATAACTAAGAGAGTAAATTTCAAATCTCTCATCATAAAAAATTATAGTTAAATGAGGTGACGTTAATTAGTTTGATTTAATCATTCTACATTGTATATATATATATATATCAAAGCCTCACATTGTACCCCATAAATGTATACATTATGATTTGTCCATTAAAACTAATATTAATAAAAATAGCTCATTGTCTTTGGGGTAGATGGACAATATTTTCTTGTTTCTGTGTTGAAAGAGTTTATTTTCAACTGCTAAAAGCCACGCTTAAGTTTGTAAAATTTGGTCAGTTTAGTTTAAGAGCTCCTTTCGGTCTCCATTAAGGAATTTATTCAGTGCCTTTAATGTGTCAAACATGTAATAGATTTTAGAGATATATGAAGGAACAAGTAGGAAGTCCCTAAACTCATGGAAGTGATACTCTAGATCTAATGTAATACACACAGGAAATACAGAAAGAGGAGTGTCTCTAGGCCTCAGTTGGGTGAATCTCCTGCATTATGTTGGCCTGCCAAAGTGACTGATCGCTTCCTTATTTTTGAGCATTTCATATGTTTTAGCTTTTCACCCTGATAAACAATGTTGCAATGTATATTTCTGTACATACATTTTTTTTGTGCTTCTCTGTACTTTTAGGTTCCAAAAGTAAAATTCATGCACCAAAAGATATTTGCTTCTTTGGTGTTGTTACTTTTATATTTTGCCTAATTGCTTTCCACAGAGCAATGTCATGATGCCCTTCCCAGGAAAACAGGGAGCCCAAGGCCATCAGAGGCTCTTTGCTGGAACTACACATGCCTCTAGGCCACATGAGCTCTAGGCACAGAGCTGGTCATGGCAATAATTTTGAGTCCAGCATCTCCTGTCACTGAAATATAGGATGGAGGCTAACTCTAGTTGCAGAAACATACAGGAATCTGGAGTTCGAAGACCCCAGTTTGAAAGTTGCTTTTTCCTTTAAGAAAGGAAAATACATTTTAATAAGTAACATGTTTGCTGACTAGATTTGTTAAGCCAGGAAAAGTCTCAAAGCAAAGCCATTACTGCTTATACTGTTTTAAAATTTCTAGCACTCAAATTGGAAAGAGTAAGAACTCTGAGTGAAATAATCTTTCTTAATTTTTCCCTATTATAAAATATGTGCTAACTTCACAGATTAGTAACACTGTTTAAATAATTACAGAAGTTATAAAAACAATGGTTACTCTGAAAAGTATTGATTCACAATTGTCAAATGAAATAGCAGTAAAGCTTATTATCTTTATTTCTTAAGGAAAATTTGTATTTCAAAGGTGTTGAAGTTCAGAGAAAGTCCTAATGTCTAAAAAAGTAAATTCATCGTTCTCTTTCTCCTACAGCAGAGTTTTTACTGTTGAAGTCATTACTATTATTATTTTAATAGTGATTACTTACAGTTTTTATTCCTCTGAAATACAAAAAAATAAAGTTCCATTCTATTCATTATTATCAAAATTACAAGGCAAGCTCTATGGAGGCAAGGGGATTTTGCTTATTGTGCTTATGGTTAAATGCTCAGGTCCTAGAATAGAAATTCTCACATAGTACATATTAATAAATAATTGTTGAATCAGTAAATGAATGAACTTCCACATCAGAACCTTTATTCTTCCTTTTCCTTTCCCTTCTCCCAACGAGTACCAAAAAAGTTCCCCTGATTAGCCTGCAGATGTCATTTCTGATATAAGTTTCCCTGAAAATCCGTGGTCAGTATATAATATCTTAAATAAAGCCTGGTAGAACACTGAACCAGGTTTAGTAGGTGAACACGGATCCTCCTGAATGGCATGCACAATTGTACTTCTTTCAGGTTTTTTAGTTCCCCCAAGGGTGGCCCTTGAGTTTTTAAAAAGCTTCTGAATATAGAAATTTCTTTGTTGCTCACCTTAGTCAACTTCAGGAAGGTCATAGCTATAGGAGGTTTTATGGTGAGCGCTCTCTGAGTGCCATATTGTGTCACCTCCCTTTGCACCCTGGGTTTTAGTAGAGGTTGTGTTTATGGTTATTTGGCTTTCACACACATCACAGATGGTGAATTGGAAGTACCTAAAGATGATGTACCTTTCTGTGCTAAACTGAGATTCCAGGTTCACCACAGATGCTCCAAGCTTCCATGGGCTAGGTAAACTAACACCATACAGAGAGCTTCACCCATCTGTTGTCCATAAGCCTCAAAGGCTGAAAGCAAATACCTCCTATGCCCAAGTGGGGTAACTGTCCACAACCTGGATCAGCTCCTTTGAGGGAGGGGTGAGGGGGTGGTGGTCCTCAGGATGATTCTTCTTGGGAAAGAATATTCTTCACTTCGGAGTTTTAGGATAAGGCAGGAATAGGAAAGAATAGAGGTATACAGGGTCCCTGGTTGCACAACAATGAAGCACTCTCTAGGGACAGGGAAAACAATTACAGCTAAAATCTCCTCTTCTTGAGTAGTAGGAGAGGAATTTAAGATATTCTTCATTGCTGAGGGGAGGCGGGGAGTAGAAGAATCCCACTGCAGCAGAGTGGATTGTTTGATACCATACAGATCAATGGATTAGAATATGTTGTGGAGGCACCTCCTAAGCACACCTTTTCCACAGGAATGGGGGCAGTGGTGGAATGAGACAATGCTACATAAGACCTTAGAACAAAGAAGACACCCAGTGCATAGAATAGTAGGTCGTCAGTTTATCAAGGAGACTGTAATAATTGCTTTTCCAAAACCAGCGCAAGTGCACCACAATAAAAAGGTAAATAAATTCTCAGTAATATTATGAAAATGCTTTGATTTCATAGACATCCTGAAAGGATCCTATGAACCCCCTTCCTCCACTAGCCAGGGATTCAGAGACTAAACATTGAAAATGACTTTTCTAGGAGGAAGATACAGGGTTTTGACCAGAGAGGAGCACATAAGATGCTTCTAGGGATGGTGGTAACATGAAATTTCTTCTCCTGATTAATAGTTATATAGCTGTATACATTACAATCACTATTATAATATACATATATCATTTATTTTATATACACACATAAACATGATAAAGGGGAAAAAAAGTACTTATGGTTTAGGGCTATCTGAAAGCGGTAAATGAAACAGCTCATGGGCACTTTGCAATCCCTCTGCTTACAAGCACTATTCTCTGGCCCTGTAGATGGCTAATAACTCATACTTCCTCCCTTATTTGACACCTTTTTATGTTGCCTGCATGAGATATAGTTCCAGGGCAAAGGGAAGAGAAGCCGCCTCCTCTCACTACTAGTGGATGCACTATTTGGCTTATCTTCTAAGCTCATCTTCAGCACATAAAAAAGAATATCCCTCATTCTGGTGGTCTGGCATTCTGGTTCAGCCCAGGCCTGTGAAATGTTGCTCCCATAAGCATCTTCATGAAGAGTCTCAACCCAGTCTCACAACAAATATGTAACTAACATTAAGTAATGTGTAATAGTGCTTTGTAAAGAGTAAGTCACTAAACCAATACTCACTATTATATTCCTACAAATATAACTTATGGTAGGATATTACAAAATACACATCAGCTTTCAGAAAATACAGGATTCTGATGTTGAGAAAAATTTTTTAAAAATATACTTACCTAAGGTATGGTTTCTTTTACTTTGTAGTCTTTGGTCAAAATCCATAATACTAGTAAATGTAATTAATGATATAACAGAGGTCATCAGACTTTCTCCATTAATTAAACTGATGAGGCTTCTAGAAAGCCCTACATATGTTGAGGGGGAAAGATGTTTTTTAAAGTGAGAAAAACATTAAAAATTAAATGTTAAAGAATACAATTTTCTTAGCAACTATAAGGATGGTCTTAGCTATGGATTTACTGTAAGTTAAGTTTAGACAATCATAATTGGCACTAAATTAATTATGGCCCATTATGTTTATGTAAGTGAGATAATCAAAGTTCTCATTCCTTGCTTCAAAGCACAGAGGAAAACATGAAATTTATTATTATTTTTAATTCAGTGAGTTGTTCTATATAAATACATGCATGATAAATCAGATATATTTAAGGCAAGACAGAAAATGATGATTGAGGAATAAAGTAAATTTACAAACCAAAGCTTTATAACATGACATCCAAATAAAGTATTAAGGCAGTTATTCACATAATCTAGCTAGGCTTAGAAATTATCTGACTTTCTCATTCATTCTTCCCAATGGTTTTAGAAATCAATCTCCATGAATGGAGAGTTCCTGATACTACTCACTTCCATCCAAATTTTCCTCTATTTATGATGGCATTCTAAGTTTAAATGTCTGTTGTCCTTTTCCTCTGCCATTAAATGTGCATGTAGTGGTAAGACTACAACTTTGACCATCTATAGTGATTTTCTAAAAGCCATAGGAGGAAATGTTATTATGCAGTGAAAGTCCTTTCTGTGAATCAACCACTCTATAACTGCAATCACAACCTAACTACAATCAGTATGCTGATAGAAGAGAAGAAACACCAAGGCTGTTCCTGTGTGGCTCAATTGCCTTGGCCATTCCATACTTCACATCTGCCTGTATCTATGCCCTTCGCTGTAAGACTTGGCAGTGTTTCTCACCAAAAAGATCTAGTTTGTTTTTTTATGAGACTCGATGAGAGCAGAAAATTTCTGCCTCCTCCCTGACTCCTGCCACCGCCATGGCAGCATTCCTCTGTAGGAATATAAGAGATACAAGAAGGAAACGTAGATCTTCCCAAATGAGGCCATCCTGGATCACTTAGCCCCCTCAGTGTCCACCAGCTGATTACAGATTCCTTAGTGAACCTAGCAAGATCAGTAGAACCCAGCCCATATCATCAGAACTGCTGGATTCATGAGAAATAATAAATAATTGTTGTTTAAGCCACCACATTTGGAGTTGTTTATTACTCAGCAAAACCTAACTGATATTATTGTATAATTATCCCATTTTAGAAAATGGAAGTATGGAAAAATGTAAATATTCAGAAATACGTAGTAGATGTAAGGGCATAGGAGGAGTCAAAGGACATGAAAAGCTCAAGCCAATGTGGATGTACTTATGTATTCTGACAGTCCTGGGCAAATTTTTCAAGTATATATATATATGAAAAAATATATATATATGCATATACACACGTACACACACATACACATATATACATATATCTAAATCTTATAAATCTTGCTTTGTCAACTCAGGAACAATGCTGCCAAGAAGAAATTACTTTTAAAAATTTCTTCTGGAAAGATACAGGGAGGAGAGAAACAAAATTCTGAAAGTAATGGCAAGATGGACAAAATTTATGAAAATAACCTTGCAAGGTACTCTTCGTAAATTAAGTTCAATAGCAGCAGGATAGAAAATCAGTGGAATACTAGATTACAAAATAACAAAGTTAGACAAGAGTGAAATCAGCTCTCAGGTATCATAAGAGTCTCTCAAATATAGCGGAGAAAAGGGCTGGCACTGACAGTCACAAGGAGGCAGGGATGTGTGCTGAGAGTATGGGGAGGAAGACAAGAATCCAGGGTTGGATGGTGGATGTTGGCATCTTCTTCTAAAGTGTTATCTCACTCTCTTAATGTCCTTTGTCTTGAAGGCTCAGCTCTCATTTATTCATATATTTACACTTGATGTGTCTCCCCTACTCTATATTTCTACCTGCCTCAGATAGCTATTTCCCCTTTAATTGGCTAGAAAGTGAAATTAAAATTGAAAAGAGTATGCGTGTGTGTGTGCAAATGTGTGCATGGGTTGCCATATTAATATTCTATTTTAAAGCAATTTTTCTAGTTCTCATTATTAAAAAGTGATGAAAGGGGACAATAAAGTTATTGTTTTTCTTGCATGAGGCTTTTTATTTTTGTTTTTCTGGGCTAAATTGAGTTGGTATTTTACTTTTAAATATAGATAGATTTTTCTTAAGATACTATACACTCAAAACACTGTGTGATTGTTGAGTTTACCATTTTTTGACTTTTTAGGCTTTCAGTCTTGATGATGACAATGACTCCAAAAGCAAAATATTTTTAAAATGGCGTTGTCCTAATGATTCTTTACAAAGGAAAAGAAATATTGGGCAACAGAAATGTCACCACAGTGTATATGCAATATTGTAACGTCCCAGAACTGTTCTGTTGGCTCAAGGTAGAAGTATGTATAAAGTCAAGGGTTCTAAACTAATCCCCTCCCCTATTCCACAATTGCGTATAATACTTTTTTTGACACTAAGTAAGCCCATCACTGGCATTTCTTCTGCCCTAAGCATGACCTCCAGAATCTCTGCTTAATCCTCAACCCCCAATCCCTCACTACCTGACTTCTCACAGTGAAAAGCTACCAAAAGCAAAAGATCTTAAAATACAAGTTCATTATGAAATATGATATTATAAATATAGAAAAAGAGAACAATATACCTACCAAGGTCTCTTATAGCAGCTGCGGTTAGCATGGGATCTGAACTCACAAGGATAGCTGAAAATAATAACCATTGGGTAGGCTTCAAAAGTAATTGATTTACAGATGCCAGATGCCAAAGAACTAAGATATAATTAACCAAAAAGCCGGGAATTGAAATTAAAAGTATCTGCAAAGAAATTTTACAATTAGAAAAATCAGACTGCTTTTGTAGTCCATTTTAAGAAGAAAATAATCAGGATTATTGGAGATACAGAATCAACCAACACCAACAGTACCCACCAGCAGACACAGGAGTGGGGCCATCTAGCTCACGCTGCTTCAGCTGACTTCCACTTGACCAAAGATGCAGGACCCCTTTTTTGTCTGTTCTTTTTTATTTCATCTTTTTGTCATTTGTCTGAACTCCATGTGTCTGGATTTGGCTTAAAAGTATAAATTATTCTAACAAATTATTTGCTTCTAATGCAGTTTAGGTAATGGCCTGTATTTACAAAACTGTTTTGATTACTTTGAAAGAAACGTACACCCTACTTATGATTTGGAGTGTTTTTTCTTGAGGTCTTTCCCTGATACCGTTCAAATCTCACATATTAAAAAACTTATGGTTTTTGAATTAAAGTTTAGCTGCTTGTGTTTTCTTCTCTGCTTTTATTCTCTTAGATATGAATGTAGGAAGCTCTAAAACATAGGTATTTAAAACATGACTTTTCTTAGCAATTTCCTTTTACTGGAGCTAATACACTTTCTCATAGCACTCTTGTAGCATTTCCGAGTTAAAATTATATCTGGTATGAAGTTATGCAAGTCAGATTTTCAGAATTACTGTTTTCTTTCTAATTTTTCCCCTGGGTCTTTGATATGCTAGGCAATTGCCAAGATATGGCTTATTCACTAAATGATGAAGCTGAATTTATTACTCCCATACCCTTTTCTTTCTTCTTTGTTCCCTATTTTGGAAAAAAATATTTTAAAAATTTGAACATAGATAATATGTGGTTCATGAATGAATGATATTACCAAAAAAGAATGCTTACCTGCCAAAATAACTTTTGAAGCATGTACGTATCCATGTCAAATGCAGTAGTAAAGAAAACTACTGGTGTAAATATACGAAAAAATAAGTCTGGACTCATCCATTGTATGGCGTTTGCGTATCTTTGGACCTAATATTATACAAATATATCATCTTCTCATTTATTCATCACTATTAGAATAGAATACATGCTAGGTGCTCCTAAATCTAACAGTAGAGAAAGACAATTTTTAAAAGATATATCACACAAAGGAGTAAGTGATCGTATCAAATTCTAGAAACTACAAATAATTGGCCATGGCTTATGTAGAAGATATGTGTGGAAGAATAGAACGGATAGAGACTGGAAAGTTAATGTAATTCATGCAATAACTAATAAACAATGTTTAACATGAGATATTTAGTGGAAATGTGTAACTCCTATTCTAGGTATCCATTCAATATTCACTTACTAGGGAAACACTGAGTACCTACTGTGTTAGGTAATATCTTTGCATTTGGGAGATAATTCTCCATGTGTCTCTTGTGTTTCTCCACGGTTTATGCATACAGGCATTGGTTGTTTTTCTTCCAGACTATCTTTTCATGAATGTTGGTATGGCTTAGAAGCAGAGCAAGTGTTGTCCTCCAGAGCAAATGACAGGTTTACTTTACTGTCCAGTGTAATAAAGATAGTATCTCCCTCAGAGACATTTATTACATTTAAAGAACAGATATAGGAAGTACATTGACATGGGTACTAAAGAATATGCAGCAGATTTTCAGGCAATCAAGACGAAGAAAGAAGTTTCAGGTAGGTGGATAATCATGCACAAAATTCACAAAGGAGTAAGTGATTGTACCAAATTCTAAAAACTACAAATAATTGGCTATGGCTTATATAGAAGATGTGTGTGGAAGAATAGGCAAGAGAGCAGATGAGCTTACTACCCATTATAGAAGATTCGGGTTCTCTAAGCTTACATTTCTTCTCCTGTGGCCAGATATATAACCCAATGTAGGTGCAGATTTCACCTGGCCTTCTTTGCTTCTTTGGGATTATGGTTCAGGAAACAGGCACAAGAAAATGTTAACTCTGGTTATTGCTATTGCTGTGGATAATAAAACCCTTTTTCTCTGGTCCAGGAGTCCCATCTCTTTTGCTGGGATCATGAAACTGGCAGGCTAGCTTATTAGCTGGCAAGTAGAGAAAAATCTTAGCCCCTTCATGGGTCTTAACATTGGTCTCTTCCTTTGCAGGAGTTGCTGACAAATAGTAAAGCTTATAGAAGTACTTCAAATTGCATCTGTGTCAAAATCATATGATTACAAAACCTGTTTATGACATGTAAAGGAGTAAACTGCTTCTGGTTCTTACATGAATACATGTTTTGTATAATATTTTTAACATCATTGACTGAATTTGTTTGGGAAAGTCAATCATTTCAGACAAGTTCTCCCATCCATTCTGATTGACTAGGGCAGATATTGGCAAATTATGGCCCCTTGGCCAAATCTGCACACTTAAGAGACTAGTTTCTCATCTAACAGAAACCCTTTAAAACAGTCTTCATTGAGGAAATAGATTAGTTCAATATTATAATATTTTTGCTACTCAAGTCCTGTACCAGCAGTACAAAGTCTCCCTGAGCTCCTATGTCATTAGCCATTTTTTTCCCAAGCTTTTAAAATCTGTTTAACATTCCTTGGCCACTAATACTTTTATGTATGTACTCAGTAGCTGTATGTACTCAGTAGCTGTATGTACTCAGCTTTTGCAGATCTCAGCTAGATCTCAGCTTTTGCAGGCCTGGCTCCTTTTTCTACATACCTGACGTGATGCTAGCCACATCACAATCATCTATCAACTGGCAGAACAGTGAGGGGATGAATAACTTTTGCAAATTTTAAATGCCATCTCTGCATTTATATAATTCTCAAATAAATAGTGTAAAATACTCATTTACAATACACACCTGTGAAGATGTAAAGCTTAATACTTCAAAACTGCATCCAAGTAAAAATAATATCACAGGGACAGGAATTGGAAAGTCTTCCAAGTGCCGGTTCAAAAATGCTGCAAAAAATATGTTGTTACTGAAAGGCAATGAGATATCTCATTTATAGAACTTTAATGTGACATGATTTCTTAAAATTGTGAACAATGTCTTACAGTTTCACTACTTTTCATGAGTTTAAAATCCTCCCTCACACTTATCAGCACACAGAATCAGTGTAACTGTTAATCTACCGGGTTACTGTTTTACCTCTCCTATGATGTATCTCATTCTCATCTCCTTAGAAACTTAACAAACATTACTAGCAATTATTGGCTCTTGGGTTACTATTGAAATATTTATAGTAGTTTTGTACACATTATAAATCAGAGATTAGTTTCTTTAGCAATCCTGCAATAAAAGATTAGTAAGTAAACTTTAATGAAATCTGGTTCAGGAACAATGAGAAACTAGACCAACTTAAAAAACTAGTTGTGGAATAGTGGGTTTTGCTGCAACTGGTTCATTTTCCTCCTGTTTTCACTAATTCTGGCACAATCCGACACCATCGCCCTTCTTGTAAGGCTGAGCCTGAGAATGCAAAGCAGAGAGGCAGGACCAAAATCGAGGTGAATCTGGGAACCTGATAATGGGTCTCCGGGTGCAGTCTCTGAAACTGGAGGATATTGGGAGAAAAGGCTCTCCGATGTGGAGATAATGGGGAAGCTCTTGGCATGGTTGGCTGCAGGTATGTGATCCTGGAGGAGCGGGAGTCAAATAGGATACACCGATTTTTAATTCAAGGAACACATTTCTGAAACACTTTGCCACAGTGAAGGAAATAAGGAATTGTACTCTCAGAGATTTTGGGAAAAGATGCATGGGTCTTAGAAGATAATTACTCAAAATATGCAGGGAAGGAATAAAAGTGAAGGGTGTTTTTCTTACAGAACATAATTTGTCATATTTATTTGATCAAGACGTTGAAGATTTATATCATAAGGATCTAGTCTGAAGCATTAAGAAGAATAAGACATCGGTTTGAAAAGAGTAATATGAATTTTGCTAAAATTGAAGCAAGAACAAACATCAAATTTATGTTGACACTTGGGTGGAAGAATGGTGACTTAATTGATGCTTTATGAAAAGTTTATATATGTTTGGAGACAATGCTCCAAAGAGAACAGTTTATAAATGAATAATTAGTTTTAAGAAGGGATATGTAATGTTGAAGAAGAAGCCCACAGTGGCGGATCATCCACATCAGATTGTGAGAAAAAAACTAATCTAGTTCATGGCCTAATTGAAGAAAACCAACAATTAACAGCAGAAATGACAACCAACACCATAGACACACCTTACACAATTCTGACCGGAAAAGTTCAACAAACTTTACACCTGAGAGGTACAAAAACCATTGCACCCAGATCAGCTACAGACAAGAGCAGAGCTTTCAATGGCCATTTTAATAAATGGGCTCATGATCTTGAAGCATTTCACTGAAAACTTGTAACAGGAGATGAAACCTGTCTTTACCAGTGCGATCCTGAAGACAAAGCACAATTAAAGCAATGGTTACCAAGATACAGAAATAGTTTAGTCAAACTACAAGTGGACTGGTTGAGAACAAAGGTAATGGCAACAGCTTTTGGATGCTCAAGGCATTTTGCTTGTTGACTTTCTGTAGTGCCAAAGAATGGCAACATCTGCTTATTATGAGAGTGTTTTGAAAAACTCAGCCAAAGCTTTAGCAGAAAAATGCCGGAGAAAGCTTCACCAGAGAGTTCTTCACCACAGCAATGCTCCTGTTCGTCCCTCTCATTAAACAAGGGCAATTTTGTGAGAGTTTTGATGGAAATCACTAGGCATTCACCCTATAGTCCCAGTTTGGCACCTTCTCACTTTTTTGTCCTAATCCTAATAATTTGTTAAGGGCAGTACATTGTTCTTCAGTTAATAATGAAAAAAAAAAACTGCATTGATGTGGTTAAATTTCCAGAACTCTCAGTTCTTTCGGATGGACTAAATAGCTGGTATCATCCCTTAGAAAAGTGTCTTGAACTCGGTCAAGCTAATGTTTAGAAATATAGTTTATACTTTTATCTTTTAATTCCATTTTTCCACAAATTTTTGAAGTCTCCTTGAATATTCACCCTTTATAGAGGGGAAAAATTATTGTGACTATTCATGTTAACTTAAATTAATGCTGACTTAATTTTCTATTTTGTAAATATACACAAACATAAAAATTGATACAAATTTTGTTTATAGCCCTTAACAAACAAATTTGTGAAATAAATGCATTCAGAAACAAACTAAAACAACATTAATGGAATGGATGCTACTGTTTTACCGAGGAGTAAACATGGTACTGGCTGCTATGGAAAAAGTTACAGTCATGTGCCTTGTGATGATCGTTTTGTCTACAACTTTACTCTTTGCAGACCTCAAGACTATTGAAATGAGGGGAGGGGATCTGAATTCCCAAAAGAATGTCGACTGGGCATGGAGGCTCATGCCTGTGATCCTTGCACTTTGGGTGGCCAAAGCAGAAGGATCCCTTGAGGCCAGGAGTTCCAGACTAGTCCTGGCAACAAAATGAAATCCTGTCTCTACAAAAAATAAAATAATTAATGAGGCATGGTTGTGTGTGCCTGTGGTCCTAGCTGCTTGGGAGGCTGAGGTGGGAGGATCACTTGCACCCGAGGTTTTGAAGCTGCAGTGAGCTGTGATTATTGCCACTACAATGGGTGACAGAGCAAAACCCTATCTCTAAAAAAAAAAAAAAAAAAGAATGTCTTTGTTCTATGCAAATCCTAATTTGAAGAATTCTGCATTAAATTCTTTCCAAACATTTTTCTAACTCCAGTAAGCAGTTCAGTTTTTATTTGATTCAGGATTAGGCTTTGACAGTAGTTAACTAAATTGGATTAAAAGTTTTGTGAACTCATAGGCAGTTTTGCTTTTTTTAGATACAGGCAGTCCTTGCTTTGCACAGTTCCAATATGCATAAATATTGGTTACCACAGTTAAGTTAAATAAAACCAGTCCAACAATGTGGTTAATATTTCCATGACCACAGTATTGAGAAAACTTGCATAAATTTTGCTGCCAGCTCTTTAGTCCACAAATCACTGTGCAAAAAAAAAAAAAAAAAGATGGGCATCATGATCGGTCGCCTATTACATTACTTCTTTCAAAGTTTGTTGGTGATTCGTTACTGATCATCTGTTCAGTTCATGCACAGATAGCAAAGCACAAAGTGCATAGTAGTGTTGCCTCCGCGACCCCAAGGATTAAACTCGTGACCATTTACAAAAATGGATAATCAAAAGAGGTAACTGGTTAGCAAGGGACAGGGCAGCAAAGAAAAGTGATAATGCTGGAAGTGAAATTGGATGTGATTAGATTTGAAAGTGGTGACAGCAAAGCAAAGATAGGTTGAGACCCAGACCTGCATGAAATTGTAATACAAACCTATTTTAAAAGTCTGATAAATGTAAAAAGGTAAAGTTGCTTCAACATCTTTCAGTTTTAGTTGCACTGGGAACAGAGAGCTGCTTGTGGTTGAAATGGAGCATTTACTTGTTTGGATTGAAGACTAATCAAAAACAAATCCCAATCAGTTTGACTAGCATTCAGGCCAAAGTGATAACTTTAGTTACTGCATTGAAAGAAAATGGTAATGACAAGAAGACTGAAAGAGAATATATTATTACCAGTAAAAGCTGGGTTCATCATTTCAGAAGTCGGCATGAATTGATGTTAAGCTATCTCATGAAGCTGCAAGCTTCAGATAGAATGTTACAGAAGATAAAGCTGACTATGGGAATGTTAACGCTGCTGCTGTTCAAGAGGCAGTTCTAGATATGTAGCCAGGGGAATTTAGCAAAGTCAAATGTATAGACATAAATTAAGAAAGTGGTTGTTATGTAAAGAACAACCATGTCTCAGGAAGTGATGCCAGCAAAAAACTTCACATTAAAGGAGCTCTCAGATACTTCATTACATTGAAAATGCAAAGGATAAACTTTTGGAAGCTGACCCAAAGTTAAGAAGGAGTGAGACAATTTGCCAAGGCATAGAAAAGATGAACACTAGTAAGTTATATGGTAAGACAAGCATTATTCAAACTATTCTTTATAAAATTATAAAGAAATGTTTTAGTGTTTCAATGTTTCTAATATTTTAAATTACTAAAATATTTTAAATTACTAAAAGTTTTATTAAGTATACTAAATAAATATTAGTTTTACATTATTAGAAAAAAATACAATTTTTCTTTTTTTTTTTTTTTTTTTGAGACAGAGTCTTGCTCTGTCACCCAGGCTGGAATGCAGTGGCATGATCTCGGCTCACTGCAAGCTCCGCCTCCTGGGTTCATGCCATTCTCCAGCCTCAGCCTTCTGAGTAGCTGGGACTACAGGTGCCTGCCACCATGCCTGGCTAATTTTTTGTATTTTTAGTAGAAACAGTGTTTCACCATGTTAGCCAGGATGGTCTTGATCTCCTGAAAAATATTTATAGCCAACAACAGGAGAGGTTTTTGTTTTGAGAAGGTGTGATGCTATGTCACCAAGGCTGGAGAGCAGAGGTATGATCTCGGCTCACTGCAACCTTCGCCTCCCAGGCTCGAGCGATCCTCCCACCTCAGTCCCCCAAGTAGCTGGGACCATAGGTGTGCACCACCACTCCAGGCTAATTTTTTTGTGTTTTTAGTAGAGACGGGACTTTGCCATGTTACCCAGGCCAGTCCTGAGCTCCTGAGCTCAAGCAATCTGCCCACCTTGGCCTCCCACAGTGCTGGGAGTATAGGCATCAGGCACCGTGCCCAGCCAGGAGAGTTTTTAATCTAGCAAATTTAAAAGTCACAGAACAATCATAAATTTTTGCATAGATTAAGATTACACTGCATAATTTCAGCTTGCATGCTCAAAGCCAGGACTCCTTGCGTGGAAAACAAGCAAGGGAGTCCGCATATTTAACCAGATGTAAATATGCACATCAAGTCTACAAACAGCTATATTTTTCCTTATGGTATTCAGTTATAATTTAACATTTACTTTTTATTTTTTTTCTTTGAGATAGGATCTAGCTCTGTCACCCAGGCTGGAGTGCAGTGGCATGATCTTGGCTCATTGCAATATCCACCTCCTGGCTCAAGCAGTCCTCCTACCTCAGCCTCCTGAGTAGGCGGGACTACTGGTGCGTGCTAACATGTGCAGCCAATTTTTGGTTGTTGTTGAGACGAGGTTTTGCTGTGTTCATGGGCCTGGTCTTGAACTGCTGGACTCAAGTGATCTGCCCATCTCAGCCTCCCAAAGTGTTAGTATTACAGGTGTGAGCCACTGGACCTGGCCTAACAGTTAGTTTTCATATTGCTTTTATGTGTTGCTATATCAAAAGCTTTGAAATAAAATTTTTATAATACTGTGAAAAAAATTACTTATTACACATTAAAAAGCCCATAACAAATATTTAACTTTGTGTATTATTGTTTTAAAAGTGCAATAAGTAATATCATAACATTTGCTTCCATTTCATTTTTTTCTGCTTCTTTGTAATACAGTCCCTAATCAGGTCAAAGATAGTGCAAAAAGTGTTTTCTTTTTGTTTATACCATGTTCTTTTCTTCTCAAAATAGCAGGCATAATTTATAATTTGGACAAAACCTATGGGACACCCTGCCCCAACCCTTGATTTTCTGCCTGTTTTCTTCAATTATCTCCTTCATTGAAATCTGACCCTGACATAGCAAGTAAGAAGGTATGAATGAACACTTTGAACCCAATAGGATGAATGTTATGAAAATCAGATTCTACACGTCTCTCCATAGGAGCAAATTATTATTGGATTCATTTGATTGAAAATATTGAGCTAAAGGTATAAGTTTGAGAACAAAATTATATCCTATTACTTCTACTTTCCTTAATTCTATATGGTAGCATTTATAAGATGTACCGGAAGAATAAACTCAGATAAAGAGAGAGTGATACTTACCTCCAATGGAGCTGATCAAAGACAATGTTAGAATGACTTCAGGGAGGTCCTCAGTACTGAAAAAAAACTCCTTAAATATTCCAGCCATGTTTCAGAAAAATTTTTATGCAGATTTATGTTAGAAGCAATCTCCATATGATCATCCATCTTGTTGTTTTTCACAGTCCATCTGAATCTAAGAAACATAAGATTTGCCTTCTTGGTGGCCTTCTAATAATTTTCTAAAAAAGAAAAAAAGCCCTATTCTCCTTTAATTATTTCTAGTGATTTCTCGTGGTCTGCCAAATTTAGGGATGCCTCTCCCTTCTATGATGCTTTCAAGTTAATGTAATAAAAAAGTCAGAACCCCAAGTGATAGAGACTACCAGTGTTACCTTATGTTTACTTACAATGCCAAGCACTACGCACTTGTTACCCACTCTGAATCCATCCAACTGTCTGAAAGAAGGATTCTCCATCTAACTATTCACACTCACCAATGTGGTCATTGGAACCACAAGCTGGTGCAGGTTACTTAGCTCTGTGGAAGGACAACAAAGGGTTTTGTCCTCAGATTATCTAAGCCTCTGCAAGCATGTTCTGACAGCTATTCCAAAGTAGGAGGAAAAGCAGGGAAGAATATTTGGATCTCTTTTGTTGTTTTATCCAGACAGAAATTAATAAATCATGATGATATCCAATCACAGCCTTCTTTGATCTCATTTGGGACACTGACAGACCAGGTGTTCTCTAAATTTATATGTGTATATAGCAACCAAGAATGTAAGAAAAATATTAAAACCAAAAAACTTTCTTAAATCAGGGAAATTGTTACATGTTCTATTTCTTTGTTACTTCTTGGAAGAGGAACAAGAGGGGCCTTGATAAGAGTTTGAAACAATAGACAGTTAACCACAGTCAGGCAATCTCGCCTGCTTCCCATGGAAAGGAAAGTTTTACATCAAAGGTCTTACATTTCACACAGGATATTATGATTCTATCTCTCATAATGGTAGCTTGACATTTTTTAGTGCCTTCTATCAGCATCTCATATGGCTGCCTTACTAAGAAATTATAATTCCTGGCCGGGCACGGTGGCTCACGCCTGTAATCCCAATACTTTGGGAGGCCGAGGCGGGTGGGTCACGAGGTCAGGAGATTGAGACCATCCTGGTATGGTGAAACCCGGTCTCTACTAAAAATACAAAAAATTAGCCGGGCATGGTGGCGGGCGCCTGTAGTCCTAGCTACTCGGGAGGCTGAGGCAGGAAAATGGCGTGAACCGGGGAGGCGGAGCTTGCAGTGAGCCGAGATCGTGCCACTGCACTCCAGCTTGGGCCACAGAGCAAGACTCCGTCTCAAAAAAAAAAAAAAAAAAAAAAGGAAAAGGAAAAGAAATTACAATTCCTCTCATAACCTGGCAAATTTTTTTTTCAGTTTCATACACACACGCACACACACACATCATATATACATATGATATATATATGTTTTCTTATGTCTTCCTTTTTATTATAAAACAATATTTTGAAGGGGAAAATAAATACATGTTTATTGTGAACACTTCTTGAAATAAATATGTAAACAAGTATTTCAAAAGCAGAAGAGAAATGACCCAAAATCATATCATCTAGTGGCTCTTACAGGTTTTATTTGCATTGTTGGGCTCATCCTTTTACGATTAAATTTTGTGCTGTTTTCCTCTTATTATTGTATCACCAGCATCAAAAGCCTTATAGATAACATTCACAAAGCTTGTAACATATTACCACCAAGGTAAAAGTGCATACTCTGGCTGGCATACTGGCCCATGCCTATAATCCCAACATTTTGGGAGGCCAAGATGGGAGGATCCCTTGAGGCCAGGAATTCAAGACCAGGCTGGGCAACATAGCAAGCCTCCATTGCTACAAAAAATAAAAAACTTACCTCAGTGTGGTGCTCGCCTATGGTCCTAGCTACTCAGGAGGCTGAGGGGGTGGTGGGACATTGTTTTGAGCCCAGGCATTCAAGGCTGCAGTGAACTATGATCGTGACACTGCATTCCAACCGGGGTGACAGAGTGATACCTTGTCTCTAAAACAAATTTCAGAATCTGCGGTCAGACTACTTGCATTCGTAGGTCTGATGGGCTTCTGCTTGTAGGTTGAAAGACTCAGGGTAGCTTACTTTAACACCACTGGCCTCAGTTTTCAAATCTGTATAATTTTCTAGTCTGTGTAATTTCTCTCCCTTTATTTATTATTTTTTGGAATTACCTAAGGAGCTATAATGATACTTGGTGCCTACGTCCTATCTCCAGAGATTCTGATTTAATTCAGTCTGGTTTGCAGCCTGGGCTCTTCAGGTAATTTTAATTTAACCCAGCCAAGGTTAGCAACCACTGTGATCCGCTCAATTCAGACAACATTGCTCAATTTTTAGTCTCAAAGCCAGCTTCTTTTCAATATTCTTGGTGAGGTTTTGTGAGAAAGGCTGTCAATGCCCTTCAGCCAAATGTTACCAGAAATACATCTGTAGTTAACAAGTTTTGTTTGTTATTTATTTGTTGCGGTGAAGGAGATGACTCACCATGGGAAACCATGGGGTATATCAGCAAAAGAGTGTTAGAAATAACCTATTAGAGGATCTGCGCTTTGTCTGGGTAATTTTGGAAAAGGTCTATGGAAGTGAGGGTTCACTTTAGGTAAGGTGCTGTCAGAAAGTGAGGACAATTCCGTGATTGAGTATTCAATAAAACTTTACTATAAGGAGGGTAGACTAGAGCTAAGATACAGCTGTGATGGGCACAGAAGCAGCAGTCACTCATTTTAGCTGAGACTGAGGGTGTTTGGTGTTGTATAGGTTGCACAACAACCTTTGTGTCTCATTTTGCTAAGGTTTGAAGTGACTTTGTCTGATGTTGATGTTCTGTGGGATCATTTATGTCAAAGAGGAGAACAACATTGGCGCAGCTGTGAGCCTAAGGCCAGCCTGGAGCAACATACTGAGTCCTATCTCTGAGTATTAGATCACTTCCTGGATTTGGGGGTTGTTTTGGGTTTTGTGTTTGGTTCTTTTCCTCAAAGGATTTCTAAATTTTTTAATGTTACCTAAACATATCAAGAACTGTAGGTAGACCTGAAGATCTCGAATGTAATATAAGTGACAGAGAAGAGTGAGCTCAGCTATGTCTCTTAACAGACATTCTCAACCTTGGCCACACATGGAATCACGTGGCAAGTTTTAGAAAATACTGATGCCTTGGTGCCCACCCTCCAAGGTTAATTTAATTCTTCTGGGGTGCAGCTTGAGTACTGGGAACTCTAAAAGCTTTCCAGTGATTCTAATGAGCAACTGGTGTTTAGAAACACTGCTCCAGGGGAAGCCCCTGCCATTAGGAAAGAACATTTTGGTCAATTAGTAATATTTGCTCTTAACATCAAACTATTGAGAAAAATATTGTCAATGTCACCTCTTAACTTGCCCACTCTTATGCCAAGACTAAGCATCCTCGAGTATACAGGCTAGACGAAATAAGGAAAATTATTTTCTGTACCACAGTTACACATTCCTACATGCTTTCTGAATTTAATATAGTTAAGAAGTCTATTGTTTTCCAAACTAAGAATACATGTTCCCATGAGCATTTTTATCATTTCTAAAATTATTTAAAAATTGTAATAAGTGTTTACACATTCAATTATAATAAATTTTTTTTTCAGAAAATAATAAAATTGTGCTGTGGTCTGAGAGAGTGGTTATTGTGATTTCAGTTCTTTTGCATTTGCTGACAAGTGTTCTTTGTTTGACCGTATGGTTGATTTTAGAGTATGTGTCACGTGGCAATGAGAAGAATGTATACTCTTTTGTTTTTGGGTGAAGAGGTCTGTAGAAGTCTACAGGTTCATTTGAGCCTGCTGAGTTTAGGTCCTGAATATGTTTGTTAATTTTCTGCCTTGATGATCTGTCTAAAACTGTCAGTGGGATGTTGAAGTCTCCCACTATTATTATGTGGGAGTGTCAGTCTCTTTGAAAGTCTCTAAGAACTTGCTTTATGAATCTGGGTGCTCCTGTGTTGAGTGGATATATATTTAGTTAGGTATTGTTAAATTGAACCCTTTACCATTATGTTATTACCTTCTTTTCCTTCTTTTTTTTTTTTTTTGATCTTTGTTGGCTTAAAGTCTGTTTTGTCTGAAATCAGGATTGCAACCCTTGCTTTTTTCTGTTTTACATTGGCTTGGTAGTTTTTCTCCATCCATTTCTTTCGATCTTGCATGTGAGATGGGTGTCTTGAAGACAGCATACCATAGGGTCTGGGTTCTTTATTCATCCTGACACTCTGTGCCTTTTAATTGGGGCAGTTAGCCCATTTACTTTCGAGGTTAGTATTGATACATGTGGATTTGATCTTGTCAGCATGATGTTAGCTGGTGATTATGCAGACTTGACTGTGTGCTTGCTTTACAGTGTCACTGGTCTGTGTACTTAAGTGTGTTTTTGTAGTGGCTGGTAATGGCAACATCATTCTTGACATAGGAGTGGGCTAAGGTTTCACGACAAAGACATCAAAAGCAATCACAACAAAAGCAAAAATTAACAAATGGGATCTAATTAAACTAAAGAGCTACTGCACGCAAAAGAAACTATCAACAAAGTAAACAGATAACCTACAGAATGGGAGAAAATTTTTGCAAACTATGCTTCTGACAAAGGTCTAATATCCAGCATCTATAAGGAACTTAAAATAATCTACAAGAAAAAACAACCAGCCCCATTAAAAAGTAGGCAAAGGACAAGACACTTCTAAAAAGAAGACATACATGCTGCCAACAAGCATATGAAAAAAAAAGCTTAACATCACTGATCATTAGAGAAATGCAAATCAAAACCACAAGGAAGGTACCATTTCACACCAGTCAAAATGGCTCCTATTAAAAAGTCAAAAAATAACAGATGCTGACAAGGTTGTGGAGAAAAAGGAATGCTTATACACTGTTGGTGGGAATGTAAATTAGTTCAACCACTGTGGAAAACAGTGTGGTGATTCCTCAAAGACCTAAAAACAGATCTAACATTTGACCCAGCAATCCCATTACGGGGTATAAACACAAAGAAATGTAAACTGTTCTATCATAAAGACATATGCATGCGTACATTCATTGCAGTACTGTTCACAAAAGCAAAGTCATAGAATCAACCCAAATGCCCATCAATGGTAGACTAGATAAACTAAATGTGGCACATATACACCATGAAATACTATGCAGCCATAAAAAAGAATGAGATCATGTCCTTTGTAGGAACATGGATGGAGCTGGAAGCCACTATTCTTAGCAAACTAATGCAGGAACAGAAAACCAAATACTGCATGTTCTCACTTATAAGTGGAAGCTAAATATTCAGAACACGTGGACACATAGAGGGGAATACACTGGGGCCTACTTGAGGGTAGATGGTGGGAGGAGAGAGAGGATCAGGAAAAATAACTAATGGGTGCCAGGCTTAATAGCTGGGTGATTAAATAATTTGTACAACAAATCTCCATGACATGAATTTACCCATATAACAAACCTGCACATGTATCCCAGAACATGAAAGTTAAATTATAATCACATTAATAATAATAAAATTACCACGAATCCTGTTTACTCTTAAATTCAGAGATATATATGATCAAATTCAACACAATTTATCTCTCTGGCTATGCATATGTGATAAATACCATTTGGCTTCCCCAACCTCTACTCCAAAATCTCATAAGAAATCTCTATTTGAGAATAGATGTCATCTTAAAATAGTTTTAAAAATACTAACATTACTGTAGCTTAATATGTTAAATGTATGGGTAAGGAAATAGCTATGAGAATAAACAGGTTTTCTTTTTTTTGTTTTTTGAGACGGAGTCATGATCTGTCGCCCAGGCTGGAGTGCAGTGGTGCGATCTCGGCTCACTGCAAGCTCTGCCTCCCGGGTTCACACCATTCTCCTGCCTCAGCCTCCCGAGTAGCTGGGACTACAGGCGCCAGCCACCACGCCCGGCTAATTTTTTGTATTTTTAGTAGAGACGGGGTTTCACTGTGTTAGCCAGGATGGTCTCGATCTCCTGACCTTGTGATCTGCCCGCCTCGGCCTCCCAAAGTGCTGGGATTACAGGCGTGAGCCACCACGCCCGGCCACAGGTTTTCAATATAATTAGAACTCTTCATCTTAAGCTGACTTTTGACAGCTTTGTAAAAGTCTGTGAGTCCAAATCCCATTAAAGAAAAAAATATTGGTTTATCACATAGGTCCTCTGCATTAATTTAACAATAAGTTAGTTGACTGAGCACAGTGGCTCACGCCTGTAATCCCAGCACTTTGGGAGGCCTAGGCGGGTGGATCACTTGAGATCAGGAGTTCGAGACTAGCCTGGCCAAAATAGTGAAACTGTCTCTACTAAAAATACAAAAAAAAAAAAAAAAAAATTAGCCAGGTGTGGTGGCACATGCCTGTAATCCCAACTACTTGGGAGGCTGAGACAGGAGAATCAATTGAAGAGGCAGAGATTGCAGTGAGCCTAGATTGTGCCACTGCACTCCAGCTTGGGTGACAGAGTGAGACTCTATTTCAAATATATATATATATATATATCTCTCATGTTAGCTAATATCTCAATTCTCTTTGTGTGTGGAGGAAATTAATGACTGCCCTCTCAAAAATGACATGAATTTGTCCTTGTCAGTCAGCCAGCATTGAGAAATTTTGTCTCATGAACCGTAAGTCACACTAATTTACCATGTTACTGAACATGGAAACAGTCTTCTTCCTTCAGATTGGAACGTTTTGCAAGAATTAGGTGAAGAAAGCATCCTGAAGAGGGCACTGTGGGATCTCAGTAATCTTCACAGCTACAAAGCTCATGCTTAATGGTTTATTTTATATTGATACCAGAGGCTGGATTGTCTCCTTAGTAAACTCTCCTACCACACAACGCAGACATCTTACTGACTCTGAAGGTGGGTGGGCTATTGCCCTCCTAATGCCCCTCCACTCAGAATGAGCCCTTCCTCCAGCTCAAGATCAGCTCCACACACCTGAGGCGATTCCCTGAACCAGTGAGCTTTCCCCTAGGGCTGGACTTTTCAGTTTCAGTAACGCAAAGGGAACACATGCCACTGGATAGTTCACAAAGAGTTGATGTAAAAAGCATAATGGAGGAGGGGAAGCAGCTAAGGGGTAGAAGTTCAAACCGAGAAGCTAGCTGATCTTTGGGAAAGTGTTCCATGGTCTGCCACAAGAAAGGCAGAAGCGCCAAGAGGGAGTGGCTGAATCTCTAGCAGGAAAACAGTGGGAGCCTTTGTTCATCTAGGAGGCGAGACTGAGAGAGAAAGTACCAGTAGGAAAGGTCAACTTCCAGAAAAGGAAACTAGAGACTGGAGAGCTCACCATCCGGAGCCTCAGGAGGAGTATCCCGTGGTGTGCAAGTGAGAAGTGGGGGGCAGCTATTTCGCTCACAGCCAAACAGCCCAGACCAACTGCAACCTCACTGACAGTTACTTGCTCCAAACTCGCCCCTAGTCTGCACCGGTTAGCTTCAGGCCCATCATCTCTTACTTGATTGGCTGATGAAATGCAACGTCATTGCTCCTGTATATCTCAGGCATTTGACGGCTTAAGGCTTTGTTTTATTTTTTAAAAATAAACAAATAAGGGGTGAAAATGAACCTACAGAAATTGCGCCATTGTGTTAATTTAAGACTTTGGGACAGTGGATTTCTGACAAAGAGCTGTTGGACACTGCTTTCCCAGAATTCTAGTAAAAGGAAGTTTCCTGGATAAGATAGTGTGGTAGAGATATGAGGACGCAGGTTGCTGGGTTAGGGAAAAAGTGAATGGATATTGTGGGCATGTAAGAGAATGAAATCAAGATGACAAGGTGAACTTTCACTCTGGGTTATATGTGAGGAAATTTTCAGGAATAATGATATACTCATTTGTTTTTTCTAAACATAATATGTAAAAAATATTTTAATTGAAATTACTTAGTTATTACTATAGAGCCAACTTTTCACATTCCTACTCTCATAAAATATCTTAAAGTTATTTAAAATTGTATTTAATGTTTTGTTCTCTGTGTTTCATCTCTTTCTCCCGACCCACACGTTTATAAGTGAATGGTGGTAAAATTCCCAACTCTTCATTTGGCCTCCTCTGATACTACCCTGATGAAGAAGGCAGGAGGCAACTTGTTTGGCTGGGTTGGAGCAGAAGTCCAGGCTCCCTACATGGTCTCCAACTGAGGCATGGGGTGCATCTTTATGGCCTGGTTGTTATGGAAGTTCCAGCTCCCACAAGGCCTTTTCTGATACTGCTCTGGTTGGGGTGGGGAAACAGGCAGGGTTCTGGCATCTTGTATGGTATGGGTGAAGTTTAAGCTTCCTACTCAGTCTTTGCTGGTATGTGGGTACAGGGAGTGGGTGAACACTTTTCTGTGGTGTTTGGTTAAAGTAGAGCAGTTACTGGTGAAATTTTCTGTCTTGCTGGGCTGCCCCTTTTCTTGGGTCTTTAAAAAATCTATTCTCGGCCAGGTGCAGTGGCTCATGCCTGTAATCCCAGCACTTTGGGAGGCCGAGGCAGGTGGATCACCTGAGGTCAGGAGTTCGAGACCAGCCTGACCAACAAGGTGAAACCCCGTCTCTACTAAAAATACAAAAATTAGCCGGGCATGGTGGCAGGCGCCTATAGTCCTAGCTCCGGGAGGCTAAGAAAGGAGAATCACTTGAACCCGGGAGATGGAGGTTGCAGTGAGCCGAGATTGCGCCACTGCACTCCAGCCTGGGAGACAGGGTGAGACACCGTTTCAAAAAAAAAAAAAAAGGATTCTCATTGTTGGAAATACATGCCACATATCTGTGTGTGGGTTGTGGTTCATGTGTGGATATATATTTAAAAATTAATTAAGTTGCAAAGCTAATATTTGCCACATTATGTATTTGTTTATATACATATGTCTTGCTAAGTTTATATATATATATATATATATATATATATAAATAAAACAGGAAATGTAAATGTTGTCTAATATTTCTCTTTAGCAATATACTCTAATGACCACACACTGGACATCCTTGTAATCCAGAATCATTCACCTTTTTTTTCCAAGAGATGGGATCTCACTCTGTCACTCAGGCTGGAAGGTAGTGGTATGACCATAGCTCCCTGCTACCTTAAACTTCTGGGCTCAAGCAGTCCTCACACCTGAACCTCCCAAGTATTTGGGTGAATACTTCTACAGGCATGTCACCACACCTAATTTTTTAATTCTTTTTGTAGAGATGGAGTCTTGCTATGTTGCCCAGGCTGGTCTCAAACTCCTGGCCTCAAGCCATCCTCTCCTCAGCCTCCCAAAGTCCTGGGATTATAGGCATAAGCCACCTCCCATGGTATCAGTGGAGACCATGCAGGGAGCAGTAATAGGACACCCTTCTCTTTCCCATCCAGGGGGCTATCATCAGAGACCTAGTGAAGAGCCTGAAGCCCCACTCCTACCTAAGCAGTAAGAAGACACCCCTTCTTCGGCTGTGTGTCAATGAAGACTGAGTAGAGAACTTGAGCTTTTATTCCAACTTGCCTACAAGAGGTGACCCCACTTCTCCTGCCAGAACAGTGTCAGAGGATGCCTGGTAAAACCCAGGATTTAAATAAGATCCAGTATCTTATAATATCTGCAATGTCCAAATAGAAATTGAAAATCGCTCATCATACCAAGAACCAAGGTGATCCCAACTTGAATGAGAATGGACAATAAAAGACACCAACCCTAAGATTACAAAAATGTTAGAATTATCTAAAAAGGATTTTAACATAGCCATCATAAAAATATTTCAGCAAATGCTAATAATTATGAACAGTATTGAAATAGATGAAAAAATAGAAAGTCTGGGCAAAGAAGTAAAGTTCCAGGGAAAAAAATAGGTGATATAAAGGGAAGCCAAATGAAAATTACAGATGCAAAAAATACAACAACAAATTCTAAAAAAAAAAAAAAATCAGCAAATGGACTGCCTTGCACCTCTCTTGTTAAACTTATTCCTGGTCATTTAATTCTTTTTTTTTTTCCTTGCAATCACAATGGAACTGGGTTTTTAATTTTATTTTTGCATTATTCATTGCTAGTGTATAGAAGTACAACTGATTTTTCTGTATTAATCTAGTATTCTATAACCTTGGTGAACTCATTTATAGGTCAGTGCCAAAGTAATGGCAAAAACCGCAACTACTCTTGCACCAACCTAATATTAGCTCTAATAGGCCTTTTGTAGATTTTTAGGGGTTTCCGTATATAGGGTCATGTCATCTGCAAATAGATATACTTCACTTCTTGTTTTCCAAACAGTATCCCACTCCATCCCCCACCTTTTAAAAAATCTTGCCTAATTGGCCTGGCTGGAATTTCAAATACACTGTTTAATAGAAGTAGGGAGAACAGACATTCTTGTCTTGTTCCTGATCTTAGGGAAAAACTTTTTCACCATTAAGTATGCTGTTAGCTGTGGGTTTTTCATACATGACCTTTATTGATTCAAAGTAGTTTCTTTCTATTACTAGGGGGTTTTTTTGTTTTGTTTTTTGTTTTTAGTGTTTTTTTGCTTGTTTGTTTGGTTTTTTCTTTTTTTTTTTTGAGACGGAGTCTCGCTCTGTCGCCCAGGCTGGAGTGCAGTGGTGTGATCTCGGCTCACTGCAAGCTCCGCCTCCTGGGTTCATGCCATTCTCCTGCCTCAGCTTTTTAATCATATAAAGGTGTTAGATTTTGTCAATTGCTTTGTCTGCATGTATTGAGATTATCAAAAGCTTTTCTCCCTTATGGTGCATTACCTTGATTTTCATTTGTTGAACCAAACCTACATTCCTGAGATAAATCCCACTTGAACGACATGTAAATTTCTTTTTTATATGCTGCTGGGTTCAGCTTACTAGCATTTTACTGAGGATTTTTGCATCTACACTCTCAAGAGATAATGATCTATAGTATTTTCTTGTGAATTTTTTGTCTGGCTTTGGTATCAAAGCCTCAAAAACTGAGTTAATAACTATTTCCTTCTCTTCTACTTGTTGCTGTTATTGTTATTGTTAGGATTTGTGAAGAATTTGTGTTACCTCTTTAAGCATTTGGTAGAATTCACCAGTGAAGCCATCTGGTGGCTTCTTTTTTGTAACACATTTTTTGATTACCAACTCAATTTTGTTACTTGTTATAGTTATATTTACATTATCTATTTTTAGTCAGTTTTGCTTGTTTCATTTTCTATTTCTCCCTCCACATCTGCTCTAATCTTTATTGTTTCCTTCCTTTGCTGGTTTTGAATTCAGTTTGCTCTTCTTGCTCTAGTTTCATAAGGTGGAAGATTAAGTTATTGGTTTGAGATTCTTCTTTTTATTGACTATATCTATATATATTTATGATGTGCAATGTGGTGTTTTGATATGTGTATATATTGTGGAGTAATTAAATCAGGCTGATTAACATATCTATCCCTTCACACATTTATTATTTTTTGTATGTGTAGGTGATATACTTAAAAATCTATTCTCTTAGGAATTTTAAATTTATACACTGTATTATTAACTATAGTCACTATGTTGCACGATAGATCTCGGGAACTTATTGCTCCTGTTCAACTGAAAGTTTGTACCCTTTGACCAACGTCACTCTATTTCCTTTTTCCTCCATCCTCAATCCCCTAGTAAACACCATTCTAATCTCTACATTTTCATTTCTCTACCCCCTCCACATATAATGCTATTGATATCAGTTTACATCTTTTACACATTATTTCCATGACCAAATTTTTGTAGTTATAGTAATTTTTAATACTTAAAAAATCTTTTACACTGGATCAAGTCTAATTTATGTGCCACCTTTACAGTATTTAGCATATCCTAAATTTGACTATATTCTTACCTTTATACTGAGTTTTGTACTTTTATGTTTTCATGTTATTAGCATTATTTTGTTTCAACTGAAATAACTCCCTTTATCATTACACGTAAGGCAGGTGTCGTGGTGGGTGAACTCCCAAAGCTTTTTTATATGGTTACTAAAGTCATTTAGATGTTCTACAATGTTTTCTTTTAAAACACTGTATTTTGCACTTTGGGAGACCAAGGTGGGAGGGTTGCTTGAGTCCTGGAGTTTGAGGCCAGCCATGGCAATACAGTGAGACTTCATTTCTACAAAAACTTTAAAAATTAGACAAGCATGGTGGTACATATCTACAGTCTCAGCTACTTGCTACTCAGGAAACTGAGGTGGGAGAATCACATGAGCCCAGGAGGCAGAGGTTGCAGTGAGCTGAGTTTGCACCACTGCATGCCAGCCTGGATGACAGAGCAAGAGCTTATCTCAAAAAAACAAACAAACAAACAAACAAAAAAGCTGTGTTTTATCTTCACATTTAAATCTTCAGTGCATTTGAAATAGGTTTTTGTCTCCAGTCTTAGGTAGGGGTCAATATATAATATATAATTTTTCCACATGGATATTCAATTGACACAGCATCTTTTATTGGAAAGATCATTTTTCTCTAATCTGATACACTGTTTTATTTGTATATATATATATCTATCTATATATATATATATCAGGTGACTATATTTGTGTGTCTTTTTCTGAATCACTATTGTATTGTATTTTCTTATCCTTAAATCAATATCACATTGTATTACTTTAGCTTTATATCTGGAACAGAGGTAAGTCTTATGTTCGTTATCTTGGCTTTTTCAGAATCAGCTTGTCAATTTTCACAATTAAAAATTTTTTAAAAACTGGTTGAATTTTGATTAGGTTTGTACTGAATCGAAAAATTAGCTTGGAGAGAACTGACATCTTTATGCCTTTCCCTGTGTATGAATATGTTATATCTTTCCATTTATTTAAGTCTTTAATTTTCTCAGAAATATTTTGCAGGTTTTAGTGGAGAAGTCTTATAAATCTTTTAATGTATTTTTTTGTACAGATACTTTTATTTCTTTTTATTTTGGAGATGAGCTGTTGTAAATGCTATATTCAAGTGTTTGTCTTCTATGAGCTTATTGAAGATATATAGAAAAACAATGCTTTTTTTTAAAGATACTATTTTTTAGAACAGTTTTAGGTTTATAGAAAAATGGAAAAGATAGTACAGCATTCTTATGTACTCCCTTCTCTAGTTTTTTTTCTATTATTGACATCATACCTTAGCATGATACGTTTCTTAAAATTAATAGACCAAATTCGATACATTTTTCATAACTAAAGTTCACAGTCCATTCTGATTTCCTTAGTTTTTACCTAATGTCTTTTTCTATACCAGAGTGCCAACCAGAATATCGCATTGCATTTACTTGTCATGTCTACTTAGGCTTCCCTTGGCTCTGATAATTTCTCAGAATTTCCTTGTTTTTGATGACTTTGACTATTTTGAGGAGTCAAGTATTTTGTAGAATTACCCTCTCTCAGAGCCTGTCTGATGTTTTTCTCATTATTAGACTGGGGTTATGGGTTGGCAGAAAGTCCACAGAGGTAAGGTACCATTTTCATCACATCTTGTCAAGTGTGTGCACTGTCAATTCTTATGTTTGCATAGATACACTTATAATACAGTTAGATTTTCAGGTTAAAGTCTGCACTCCTTGGAATTCCTAAATTTCTTTTTCTCATATCTTAAGGTAGAAGCTTATTGATTTAAATCTTTCATCTTTTCTAATATATGCATTTAGTGCTATATATTTTTCCTCTGAACACTGCTTTTACTGCATCTTACAAATTTTGATAAGTAGTATTTTTATTTTCATTTAGTTAAAATATTTTTAGGGTTTTTTTTGAGATTTCCTATTTAACCCATATGTTATTTAGAAATATATTGTTTAATATCCAAATATTTGGGGACTTTCCATTTATCTTTTTGTTATTTCTAGTTTAATCCCATTGTGGTCTGAGAACACATTTTGTATGTTAAAGTGTTGTTTTAACTCCCAGAATGAGTTCTAGGTTGGTTAACGTCCTGTGTGAATTTGAAAAGAATAAATATTCTGGTGTTTTTGGATAAAGTGATCTTAATGATATTAAGTTGATTGATAGTGTTTTCAGGTCAATTACATCCTTCCTGATCTCTTGGCAGCTTGATCTATTAAGGGATGTTGAAGTCTCTGGCTACAATAGATTTGTCTGTTTTTCCTTGTGGTTCTATCAGTTTTTGCCTCACATATTTTTAACATCTACTGTTAGGCACATACATATTAAAAATTATTGTCTTCTTAGAGAATTAACCCCTTTATTGTTACATGATGCCCTCTTCTATCCCTGAAAATTTTTCTTGTTTTGAAATCTGCTTTGTCTAAAGTTAATATAGCTACTGCAACTCTCTTTTGATTAGTGTTAACATGGTATTTTTTTTGGCTCCTTTACTTTAAATTTATCTGTGTCTTTATATACAGTCATTCCTTGGTATCCATGGGAGATTGGTTGCCTTCTCCCCAGTACTCTACACTACTGTAGAGATGAGGGCTCAAGTCACTTATATAAAATGGTGTAGTATTTGCATATGACCTACATACATTCTATCATATACTTTGTTTTAAACATTTTTTATAACATTAATATTTATTGCTTTATATGAATACTGTATTGAAAGCCCAAGCATTCCATTTACTCACAGAAACTGTACAATTATATATTACTTCATAAATGCAATGAACACATTACAGTCTACAAAATCAGAAATTACAGAAGTTTAAAAATTCTGAGTATCAAATAATACAGATGAAGAAATAGACATAAATATGGCAGCCCATAATTTTGACAAAGAAATTGTAGCCTCCCTGACTTTAAATATGTGAATTTGAAAATACTGAGTTTGGAGTAATCATTGTGCTTTGTGTTGGTCTAAAAAATATAACACTGGCTGTCAAATCAGCATGTCTGAAAATATTTAATTCACTTCCAAATGTCATACAAATTATTGTGGCTTCTATGTACCCTAAGGCTTCAGTCATTTAGCTCAGGTACATTACTAAAAGTAATATATCAATTCTTCCAGTACAGTGATGTTTCACATCATTCACATTTGCATACTCTGGAATAAAATAGAAAGTAATGTGTTATATTCAAAATATTCAGAAAAGCAAGCAAAAGGTCAAGGAAACTGCTGGTTATTCTGAAATAATCTTGTGTTGAGGTGAGAAATTAAAGAAAAATAAAATTAAAAAGAGAAAAAAGTTTTCCTGTTTTAGGCTAACTTGTCCAAGAGGCAGCAACAGGCACAGCCCAGACCTAGGAAAAGTCTTGATAATATTATCTAATGTGCTCTGGAGACTCTCCCAGCACCCCCTCAACACAGGGAGAAGAAAAACAAATTTTCCTTTGCTTTATGGAATGAGTTTATAGATTCTTGTTGTCTGTAACTAGTGATTTTAAGTATTCTGTTTTATCTAAGAAGTACAAAAAAAGTCATGAGAAGCCTGAGTAGGCCTGAACTACAGCTGCCTGGGCCCCACAGTGAAGGTTATAGGATAAGCCCCTGCACAGGCAAACCTAGATAAGGAACATCTGGGTTGCTTGGCAACGGTCATATGCAATCCTGTCTTTGTCCTGCCTCTGGATCCCTCCTTTCATGCCACTGTAAGCTTGCTTCAAGCTAGC